>NC_000017.11:81792542-81796281 GCF_000001405.40 Homo sapiens
CCACAAATACACACACCACACACCCCAAACACACAGCACACACACCACACACACATCACACACAGAAAACACAATACACACCACACACCACACACACCCCACAGATACACACACCACACACACCACACACACACCCCCACAAATACACCACACACACCACACACACACACCCCACACACATCACACACACCACACACAGAAAACACACAATACATAACACACACCACACACACACCACACACACACCCCACATCACACACAGAACACACACAATACACAACACACACCACACACACCACACAAACACAAACATCACACACACCACACACACAACACACACAATGCACAATACACACCACACACACACCCCACAAACACCACACACAACACACACAAAACACACACCACACACACACCACACACACCACCCACCCCCACACACATCACACACACCATATACAACAGACATCACACCCACACCACACACCACACACACACCCACACACACCCACAAACACACCACAAACACCACACACCACACACACACCAGAAACACCCACATCACACACACTACACACAGAACACACACAATACCCAATAGACACCACACACACCACACACAACGCCACACACACACCACACACCCCCCACACACACACCCCACACACACCCCACAAACACACATCTCACACACACAGAACACAAATACACACCACACACCACACACACAGCACACACAGAACACACACAACACACACCACATACCACACGCCACACACACAGCACACACAATACACACACCACACACAACACACACAACACATAAACACACACTATACACACATGACACACACACATCACACACACCACTCACGATACACACACACCACACATGATGCACACACACCACACACGCACACCACACACACAACACACATACACCACACACACCACTCACGATACACACACACCACACACAACACACATGACACATCCACACAACACACGCGGGGCACACACAGAGACACTACACAGACAATACATGACATACATGACACACACAACACACGAGACACAAACATGGCACACACACCGCACGCATGACACACAGACACACACACGACAGAAGGAGAGACAGAGTTTGGGTCAAGAGCCACATCCCCTGCAGATTCCTGGGCTGGGCACACTCAGATCCCGGGCTCTGCAGGCAGCTCCACCGCACCCAGGGTCTCAGTACCTCTGGAGGCCGTGTCCCCCAGTCTCACTCAGCGCCTTCAGCCCCCCGCCCCAGCCCCAAGGCTCAGGCCCACGGCAGCCCCTCAGGCCAAGGGACTCACCAAGGTTGGCCCAAACTCTCCGTAGTCCATTGGCTCACAGAGACACACACACACAGACGCACACAGATGGACACAGACACACACCGACATGCACAGATGCACACAGATGCATATTGAGACACACACAGATGCACACAGACACACACACATGCATATTGAGACAGACACACACAGACACACACAGATGCACATAGACACAGACACACACAGATGCACATAGACACAGACGCACACACAGAGACACACACAGATGCACATTGAGGCACACATAGACACACAAAAATACAGACACAGATGCACATAGAGACACACATAGACACACAGGCACACACAAACACACATAGAGACCTACATACAGAGACACACACACAGATGCACATAGACACACACAGAGTCACAGACACACACACACACAGATTCACATAGGGACACACAGACACACAGATACATATAGAGACAGGCACATACACACACAGACACACACTGGCAAACATAGAGACACAGACACAAACAGAGACAAACACACACATAGAGACAAACAGAGACACACAAAGACACACATAGAGACACACACGGGCACGCACACAAGCACAGGCACACACAGACACAGACACACATAGACCCACATAGAGACACACAGACACACACATAGACACATAGACATACATATTCTCTGCCAGAACAAGCCAGTCTCCAGACGTGGGCAGGTAGGAGGGGCAGGGGCAGATGCAGAGTGACGGCCTCTCCCCAGCCAGCCGTCCAGATGCTGGGGCAGGTCCGGGTGCCCAGGGGCTGGTGGCGCAACTGAAGAGCCCAGCTGCAAGGGGAGTTTCCTCAGAGGTGGCTTTAAATCTCTGCCTCTGGCCAGCAGAACTGGCTGTGGCGGAGAGAGCAGTGTGTCCAAGGGGTGCCTCCCAGCAGGGCGGGTCAGAGGCTGGGCTTCCTCGCACAATCTCCAGAGAAAGGGAGCTCCTCCCAGGCCTGCCTGTGGCTAGACTGACCTCTCCACCTGCTCTCTTGCCCAGGCTGGAGTGCAGTGCACTCCATCAAGGAGTGACCTGGTGCTCTTTTTTCTCTTTACTTAAAAAAATACTATGAAAATAACACATGCACGTGTTTAAAAACCAAATAGGGCTGGGAGTAGTGGCTCATGCCTGTAATCCCAACACTTTGGGAGGCCAAGACAGGAGGATCGCTTGAAGCCTGGAGGTGAAGACCAACCTGGGCAGCATAGTAAGACCTCATCTCAAAGAAAAAAAGAAATTCTACACAAACTTCCAAAAAAATAGAAAAAGAGGGAATATTTTCCAGCTCATTTTATGAGATCAGCACTACCCTGGTACCAAAACCGGGCCATTTCCTTATTACAGGGAAAAAAAATTGCATAAATATCCTTAATGAACATAGGTACAAAAAATTATTAATAAAATGTTAGAAAATCAAATATGGATATATATATATATAATGACCAAGTGAGATTTATCTCAGAAATCCAAGGTTGGTAAAACATTTGTAAATCAATGTAATTCAACCATAGCAATAGACTAAGAAAGAAAAACTATAAGATCATCTCATTAAAAAAGAAATAAAAATTTGATGAACTTTGACATCCATTCATGATAAAAACTCTCAGCAGCTATGGATTGACGGAAACATTTTCAAATTGATAAAGAGAGTCTGCGAAAACCCTAGGAAAGGCCGGGTGCGGTGGCTCACTCCTGTAATCCCTGCACTTTGGGAGGCTGAGGCAGGCGGATCATGAGGTCAAGAGATTGAGACAATCCTGGCCAACATGATGAAACCCCGTCTCTACTAAAAATACAAAAATAGCCGGGCATGGTGGCGCACGCCTGTAATCCCAGCTAGTCGGGAGGCTGAGGCACAAGAATCACTTGAACCTGGGAGGTGGAGGTTGCAGTGAGCCGAGATCGCGCCATTGCACTCCAGCCTGGGCCACAGAACGAGACTCCACCTCAAAAAAAAAACCGAGATATCATGACACACCTACTAGTATGGATAAAAATATCAAACAAACCGGCCAGGTGCATCGGCTCATGCCTGTAATCCCAGCACTTCGGGAGGCTGTTGCTCTGTTGCCTGGGCTGGAGTGCTATGGCACGATCTCGGCTCACGGCAGCCTCCACCTCCTGGGCTCAAGCAAATCCTCCTACCCCAGCCGCCCCAGTGCCGGGGCCTCCCGGCTTGTCCCCCCCGGCCTGGCTATTTTGTATTTTTTTTTTTTTTTTTTTGTATAAATGAGGTCTCGCTATGTTGCCCAGGCTGGTCTTGAACTTCTGAGCTCAAGGGATCCTCCTGCCTTGGCCTCCCAAACTGCTGGGATTACAGGTGTGAGCCACTCCACCCAACCTCAGACACTCAACTTTCTTTCTTTTTTTCTTTCT
>NC_000017.11:81797727-81798717 GCF_000001405.40 Homo sapiens
CAGAGGCGCCCCTCACCTCCCGGATGGGGCGGCTGGCCAGGCGGGGGGCTGATCCCCCCACCTCCCTCCCAGACGGGGCGGCTGGCCGGGCGGGGGGCTGACCCCCCACCTCCCTCCCGGACTGGGCGGCTGGCCGGGCGGGGGGCTGACCCCCCCACCTCCCTCCTGGACGGGGCGTCTGGCCGGGCAGAGGGGCTCCTCACTTCCCAGTAGGGGCGGCCGGGCAGAGGAGCCCCTCACCTCCCGGACGGGGCGGCTGGCCGGGCGGGGGGCTGACCCCCCCCACCTCCCTCCCGGACGGGGCGGCTGCTGGGCGGAGACGCTCCTCACTTCCCAGACGGGGTGGTTGCCGGACGGAGGGGCTCCTCACTTCTCAGACGGGGCGGCTGCGGGGCAGAGGGTTTCCTCACTTCTCAGACGGAGCGGCCGGGCAGAGACGCTCCCCACCTCCCAGACAGGGCTGCGGCCCAGGCAGAGGCGCTCCTCACATCCCAGACAGGGCGGCGGGGCAGAGGTGCTCCCCACATCTCAGACGATGGGCGGCCGGGCAGAGACGCTCCTCACTTCCTAGATGGGATGGCGGCGGGGAAGAGGCGCTCCTCGCTTCCCAGATGGGATGGCGGCCGGGCGGAGACGCTCCTCACTTTCCAGACTGGGCAGCCAGGCAGAGGGGCTCCTCACATCCCAGACGATGGGTGGCCAAGCAGAGACGCTCCTCACTTCCCAGACGGGGTGGCGGCCGGGCAGAGGCTGCAATCTCGGCTCTCTGGGAGGCCAAGGCAGGCGGCTGGGAGGTGGTTGCAGCGAGCCGAGATCACACCACTGCACTCCAGCCTGGGCACCATTGAGCACTGAGTGAACGAGACTCCATCTGCAATCCCGGCACCTCGGGAGGCCGAGGCTGGCGGATCACTCGCGGCTAGGAGCTGGAGACCAGCCCGGCCAACACAGCGAAACCCCGTCTCCACCAAAAAAAAAACGAAACCAGTC
>NT_187384.1:0-6580 GCF_000001405.40 Homo sapiens
CATTCCGTTCTGTTCCATGCCATTCCATTCCATTCCTTTGTATTCCATTCCATTACATTCCATTATGGTTAATTCAAATCCATTCTATTCCATTGCTTTCCATTCCATTCCATTCCACTCGTGCTGATTCAATTCCATTCTATTCCATTCTATTCCATTCCATTCCATTCCATTCCATTCCATTCCATTCCACTCGGGTTCACTCCATTCCATTCCATTCCATTCCATTCCATTCCATTCCATTCCATTCCAGTTGATTCAATTCCATTCTATTACATGTCATTCCATTCTATTCCATTACTTTCCATTACATTCCATTCCATTCGATTCCAGATTATTCAATTCCATACTAGTCCATTCCATTCCATTCCGTTCCAGTCCATTCCATTCCATTTCATTCCATTGCATTGGAGTTTCTTCCATTGCATTCGATTCCATTCCATTGAATTCCATTCCGTTCCATTCCATTCCACTCGCAATCTATTCCATTTCTCTCCATTCCAGTTGATTCAGTTCCATTCTATTCCATACCATTCCATTCCATTCCAGTTGATTCCACTCTTTTCCATTCTATTCCATTCCATTCCATTCCATTCCATTCCATTCCACTCGGGTTGATTGAATTCCATTCTACTCCATTTCATTCCATTCCATTCCACACCATTCCATTCCACTCGGGTTGGTTCAATTCCATTCCATTCCATTCAAATCCATTCCAATCCACTCGGGTTGATTCAACTCCATTCTATACCATTCTATTCCATTCTATTCCATTCCATTCCTTTCGACTCCATTCCTTTTGACTGCATTCAGGTTGATTCAATTCCTTTCCATTCCATTCCATTACATTCCATTCCCTTCCATTTGACTCTGGTTGATTCAATTCCATTCCATTCTTTTCCATTCCAATCGATTCCATTCCAATCCATTCCAGTTGATTCAATTTCATTCCATTCCATTCCATTCCATTCCATTCCATTCCATTCCATTCCATTCCATTCCATTCCATTGCATTCCATTCCATTCCATTCCATTCCATTCCATTCCATTCCATTCCATTCCACTCGGGTTGATTCCATTCCATTCCATTCCATTCCATTCCAATCCATTCCCTTCCATTGCATTCCATTTGATTCCATTCCATTCCATTCCATTCCATTCCATTCCATTCCATTCCAATCCATTGCCCTCCATTCCATTGCATTCCACTCTCCTTGATTCAATTGTATTCCATTCCATTCCATTCCATTCCACTACATTCCATTCCATTACACTCGGTTTGATTCCATTCCATTCCATTCCATTCCATTCCATTCCATTCCATTCCATTCCTTTCCAGTTGATTCAATTCCATTCTATTCCATTCTTTTTCATTCCATTCCTTTCCATTCCATTCCAATCCAGTTCATTCCATTCCATTCCATTCCAATCCATTCCAGTTTATTCCATTCCATTCCATTCCCTTCGATTCGATTCCATTCCATTCCATTGCATACCATTCCATTCCACTCAGATTGATCGAATTCCAATCTATTTCATTCCATTCCATTCCATTCCACTCGGGTTGATTCCATTCCATTCCATTCCATACAATTCAAATCCATTCCGTTCCATTTGATTCAATTCCATTCTATTCCATTTCACTCGATTCCATTCCATTCCATTCCAATCCATTCCATTCCATTCCACTCTGTTCGATTCCATTCCATTCCATGCCATTCGCTTCCATTCCATTCCCATTCCACTCTGGTATCGATTCCATTCTATTCCATTCCATTCCATTCAGTTCCACTCCATTCGATTCCACTCGAGTCGATTCCATTCCATTCCATTCCATTACATTCCATTCCACTCGGGTTGACTCCATTCCATTCCATTCCATGCCATTCCAATCCATTCCATTCCACTCGGTATGATTCTATTCCATTGAATTCCATTCCATTCCACACTATTGCATTCCATTCCATTCCATTCCACTCTACTCAGGTTCATTCAATTCCATTCTATTCCATTGCATTCCATTCCATTCCAAATCATTCCACTCCATTCGGTTTCACTCAATTCCATTCTATTCATTTCCATTCCATTCCTTTCCATTGCATTCTATTCCATTCCTTTCCATTCCATTCCATTCCAATCGAATTGATTCATTTCCATTCCATTCCTTTCCATTCCACTCCACTCCATTCCATTCCTTTCCATTCCACTCAACTCCATTCCATTCCATTCCATTCCATTCCATTCCATTCCAGTTGATTCAATTCCATACTATTGTATTCTTTTCTATTCTATTTGATTCCATTCCATTCCATTCCTCTCGGATGGATTCCATTCCATTCCATTCCATTCCATTCCGTTCCATTCCATTCGTGTTGTTTCCATTCCATTCCATTCCATTCCATTCGAATTCATTCCATTCCTCTTCATGTCACTCGGATTGATTTAATTCCATTCTAACCCATTCCATTCCACTCCATTACATTCGATAACATTACATTCCAGTCAGTTTGATTCAACTCCATTCCATTCCATTCCATTCCATTCCATTCCATTCCATTCCATTCCATTCCTTTCTATTACACGGCGGTTGATTCCATTCCATTCCCTTCCATTCCATTCCACTCGAATGGATTCAATTCCATTGTGTTCCATTCCATTCCATTCCATTCCATTCCACTCGGGTTGATTCCATTCCATTCCATTCCATTCCATTCCATTCCATTCCATTCCATTCCATTCCACTATGGTTGATTTCCTTGCATTCCATTCGAATCCATTCCATTCCATTCCATTCCATTCCATTCCATTCCATTCCAATCCATTCCACTCGGGTTGTTTCCATTCCATTTCATTCCTTTCCATTCCATTCCATTCCATTCCACTCGGGTTGATTCAATTCCATTCTATTCCAGTCCATTCCGTTTCATTCCATTCCACTCGGGTTGATTCCAGTCCATTCCATTCCATTCCATTCCATTCGATTTCAGTTGATTCTATTCATTTCTATTCGATTCAATGCCATTCCATTCCATTCCATTACATTCCAGTTGAATCTGTTATATTCCATTCCATTCCATTCCACTTGGGTTCATTCCATTCTGTTGTATTCCATTCCATTCCATTCTATTCCATACCATTCCATTCCATTGCATTCCACTCGGGTTGATTCTATTCCATTCTGTTCCATTACATTGCATTCCACTCCGTTCCATTCCATTGCATTCCACTCGGGTTGATTCAATTCCATTCTATTCCATTCCATTCCATTCGTTTCCACGTGAGTTGATACAATTCCATTCTATTCCTTTCCTTTCAATTCCATTCCATTCCGTTCCACTCTGGTTGATTCCATTCCATTCCATGCCATTCTATTCCACTCGGTTTGACTCCTTTCCATTCCATTCCCTTCCATTTCAATCCATTGCTTTCCTTTCCATTCCAATTAATACAATTCCATTCTATTCGATTCCATTCCATTCCATTCCATTCCATTCCATTCCATTCCATTCCAGTTGATTCCATTCCATTCCTTTCGATTCCATTCCATTCCATTCCATTGCATTCCATTCCATTCCATTGCACTCGGGTTGATTCCATTCCATTCCATTCCATTCCATTCCATTCCATTCCAGTTGATTCAATTCCATTCTATTACATGTCATTCCATTCTATTCCATTACTTTCCATTACATTCCATTCCATTCTATTCCAGATTATTCAATTCCATACTATTCCATTCCATTCCATTCCAGTCCAGTCCATTCCATTCCATTTCATTCCATTGCATTGGAGTTTCTTCCATTCCATTCTATTCCATTCCATTGAATTCCATTCCGTTCCATTCCATTCCACTCGCTTTGTTTCCATTCCATTCCATCCCACTCCCTTCCATTCCATTCTATTCGATTCCATTCCATTCCAGTACATTACATTCCAGTTGATTCAATTCCATTCTGTTCCATTCGGATCCATTCCATTCCATTCCGTTCAATTCCATTCCATTTCATTCCAGTTGATTCAATTCCATTCTATTCCATTCCGTTCCATTCCATACAATTCCATTCCATTCCATTCCAATTGATTCCATTCCATTCCCTTCCAATCCGTTGCATTCCATTCCATTCCATTCCACTCGGATTGATACAATTCCATTCTATTCCATTCCATTCCATTTAATTCCATTCCATTCCATTCCATTGCTTTCCATTCCACTTGGGTTGAATTCATTCCACTGCATTCCATTCCATTCCATTCCACTACATTCCATTCCTTTCCTTTGATTGGCATTGCATTCCATTCCATTCCATTCCATTCCATTCCATTCCATTCCATTCCATTCCATTCCATTCTACTCGGGTTGATTCAATTCCATTCTATTGCTTTCCATTCCATTCCAATCCATTCCATTCCATTGCAGTTGATTGAATTCTATTCTAATTCATTGCTTTCCATTCAATTCCATTCCATCCTAGTTGATTTAATTCCATTGTATTCCATTCTATTCCATTCCATTGCATTCCATTCCATTCCAGTTGATTCAATTCCATTCTATTCCATTGCATTCCATTTCGTTCCATTTCATTCCATTCCATTCCACTCGGGTTGATTCAGTTCTATTCCATTGCATTAAATTCCATTCCACTTGGGTTGATTCAATTCCATTCTATTCCGTTTCATCGCACTCCATTCCATTCCATTCCATTCCATTCCATTCCATTCCATTCCATTCCATTGCATTACAGTTGATTCCATTCTTTTCCATTCCATTCTATTCCATTCAATTCCATTCGAGTCCGGTTGATTCAATTCCATTCTATTCCACTCCATTCTATTCCATTTCATTCCATTAAATTCCCTTCCACTAGGCTTGATTCAATTCTATTCCATTCCATTCCACTAGGTTTGATTCAATTCCATTCCCTTCCGTTCCAATCCATTCCATTCCATTCCATTCCTTTAATTTCCTTTGCATTCCACTCGGGTTGATTCTATTCCATTCTATTCCATTCCATTTAACACCATTCCATTCTATTCCATTCCATTCCACTCCACTCGGATTCATCCAATTCCATTCTAATCCATTCCATTCCATTCCAATCCATTCCAATGCAGTCGGGTTGACTGAATTCCATTCTATTCATTTCCATTCCATTCCATTCCATTCCACTCGGGTTGATTCCAGTCCATTCCATTCCATTCGATTTCAGTTGATTCTATTCCTTTCTATTCCATTCAATGCCATTCCATTCCATTCCATTCCATTCGAGTTGATTCCGTTATATTCCATTCCATTCCACTCGAGTTCATTCCATTCTGTTGTATTCCATTCCATTCCATTTCATTCTATTCCATTCCATTCCATTCCATTCCATTCCATTCCATTCCATTCTATTCCATACCATTCCATTCCGTTGCATTCCACTCGGGTTGATTCTATTCCATTCTGTTGCATTCCATTCCATTGCATTCCACTCGGGTTGATTCAATTCCATTCTATTCCATTCCATTCCATTCCTTCCATGCGAGTTGATACAATTCCATTCTATTCCTTTCCTTTCAATTCCATTCCATTCCATTCCACTCTGGTTGATTCCATTCTATTCCATGCCATTCTATTCCACTCGGTTTGATTCCTTTCCATTCCATTCCCTTCCATTTCATTCCATTGCTTTCCTTTCCATTCCAAGTGATACAATTCCATTCTATTCGATTCCATTCCATTCCATTCCATTCCAGTTGATTCCATTCCATTCCTTTCGATTCCATTCCATTTCATTCTATTCCATTCCACTCGTGTTGATTCCATTCTATTCCATTCCATTCCATTCCATTCCATTCCATTCCATTCCATTCCATTCCAGTCGTGTTGATTCCATTCCATTCCAGTCCATTCCATTCCACTCGGATGGATTCCATTCCATTCCATTCCATTCCATTCCATTCCATTCCATTCCATTCCACTCGTGTCGATTCCATTCCATTCCATTCCATTCCATTCCATTCCACTGGAGTCGATTCCATTCCATTGCATTCCATTCCACGTCATTCCATTCCATTACACTAGAGTCGAGTCAATTCCGTTCTATTCCATGCCATTCCATTCCATTCCATTCCATTCCATTCCATTCCATTCCATCACAGTCAATTCATATCCATTCTATTCCATTCCATTCCATTCCCTTCCATAGTTGATTCAATTCCATTTCATTCCATGTTATACCATTCTATTCGATTCCATTCTAGTTGGTTCAATTGATGGAATGGAATCAACCCAACTGGAATGGAATGTTGTGGAATCGAATGGAATGGAATGAAATCAACCATAGTGGAATGGAATGGAATGGAATGGAAAGGAATGGAATGGAATGGAATGGAATGGAATGGAATTGAATCCACCAGAGTGGAATGGAATGGAATGTTTTGGAATGGAATGGAATGGAATGGAATGGAATAAACCCGAGTGGAATGGAATGGAATAGAATGGAATGGAGTGGAATGGAATGGAATGGAATCAACACGAATGGTAGGAATGGAATGGAATGGAATGGAATATAATAACATGGAATGGAATAAACCCGAG
>NT_187384.1:10481-13700 GCF_000001405.40 Homo sapiens
CTTCGGGTTAATTCCATTCCATTCCATTCCATTCCATTCCATTCCATTCCATTCAATTGCATTCCATTCTATTCCATTCCATTCCATTCCTTTACATTACATTACATTCCACTCGTGTTGATTCAATTCTATTCCATTCCATTCCATTCCGTTTCACTAGGGTTGATTCAATTGCATTCTACTCCATTGCATCCTACTCCTTTCCGTTCCATTCCATTCCATTCCATTCCATTCCATTCCATACCACTGAATTCCTGGGGATTCCATTTCATTCCATTCCATTCTATTCCATTGAATTCCATTCGATTCCAGTTCATTCAATTCCATTATATTCCATTCCATTCCATTCCATTTCATTCCATTAAATTCCATTCTGCTAGGTTTCATTCAATTCTATTCCATTCCATTCCATTCCATTACACTTCTGTTGATTCAGTTCCATTCTGTTCCATTCCAATCCATTTCATTCCATTCTATTCCTTTCCATTCCACTCCATTCCATTCCATTCCATTCCAATACACTCTACTCGGTTTCATTCAATTCCATTCTATTCCATTCCATTCCATTGCATTCCATTCCATTCCAATCCATTCCACTCCTCTCTGTTTGATTCAATTCCATTCTATTCCTTCCCATTCCATTCCATTCGATTCCATTCCTTTCCATTCCATTCCATTCCATTCCATTCTACTCGGGTTGATTCCATTCCATTCCATTCCATGCCATTCCAATCCATTCCGTTCCATTCCATTCCACTCCCCTCGGGTTGATTCAATTTCTTTCTATTCCATTCCATTCC
Organism: Homo sapiens; assembly: GCF_000001405.40. Lineage (NCBI taxonomy): Eukaryota > Metazoa > Chordata > Mammalia > Primates > Hominidae > Homo > Homo sapiens. The sequence goes on from NT_187384.1 coordinate 11,282, forward strand.
ATTCCATTCCATTCCATTCCACCCGGGATGATTCATTTCAATTCTATTCCATTCGATTCCATTAAATTCCATTCCAGTCCAGTTGATTCAGTTCCATTCCATTGTATTCTTTTCCATTCCATTCCCCTTTAGTTGGTTCGACTCCATTCGATTCGATTCCATTCCATTCCATTCCCCTCGGATTGATTCAATTCCTTTCAATTCCATTCCATTCCATTCTATTCCATTCCATTCCATTCCACTCGGGTTGATTTAATTCCATTGCATTCCATTAAATTCCATTCCATTCCATTCCATTCCATTTGATTCCATTCCATTCTATTCTATTCCATTCCATTCCATTCCATTCCATTTCACTCCATTCCATTACACTCGGGTTGTTTCATTTCCCTTCTATTCCATTCCATTCCGTTCCATTCCATTCCATTCCATTCCATTCCATTCCATTCCATTCCACTCCATTCCACTCGGGTTGATTCAATTCCATTCCATTCCGTTCCATAACATACCATTCAATTCCATTCCATTCCAGTTTATACAATTCAATTCTATTCCATTCCATTCCAGTTTATTCCATTCCATTCCATTCCATTGCATTAAACTCAGGTTGAATCTATTCCATTCCATACCATTCCATTCCATTCCATTCCATTTCATGCCAGTTGATTCAATTGCATTCCTTTCCATTCTGTTCCATTCAACTGCATTCCAATCCATTCCATTCCATTCCAGTTGATTCAATTCCCTTCTATTATATTGCATTCCATTCCATTCCATTCCATTGCACCCGGGACCGTTCAATTCTATTCCACTGCATTGCATTCCACTAGGGTTGATTCATTTCCATTCCATTCCATTCCAATCCATTCCATTCCATTCCATTTGATGCAATTCCATTCTATTCCACTCTATTCCATTCCATTGGATTCCACTCCCTTCCATTCCATTGTCTTCCAGTTGACTCAGTTCCATTCCATTCCATTCCATTCCATTCGTTTCCATTCCATTCCTTTCCATTCCATTGCATTCCCCTGGCGTTGGTTCAATTCCATTCTCTTACATTCCATTCCATTGCATTCCATTGCATTCCATTCCCCTCGGATTGATTCCATTCCATTCCATTCCATTCCATTCGATACCTTTCCATGCCTTTCATTTAGGTTAATTTCCATTGCATTCTATTCCATTCCAGTTGATTCCATTCCATTCTATTCCATTCAATTCCATTTCATTACTTTCCAGTTGGTTCCATTCCATTCCACTCTATTGCATTTCATTCCATTCCATTCCATTTGATTCAAATTCATTCTATTACATTGCATTCTATTCCATTCCATTCCACTTAGGTTGATTCCTTTCCATTCCATTCCATTCCATTCCAGTTGATTCCACTCCATTCTATTCAATTGCATTCCATTCCATTCCATTCCACTTAAGTTAATTCCATTCAATTCCATACCATTGCATTCCATTCCATTCTATTCCAGTTGATTCAATTCCACTCCATTCCATTCCATTCTATTCCATTTCTTCCTCTCATGTTGACTGAATTCCATTGAATTCCATTCCATTAAATTCCATTACATGCCATTTCCCTCGGGTTGATTCCATTCCATTCCATTCCATTCCATTCCATTCCATTCCATTCCACTCGCGTTGACACAATTCTATTCTATTCCATTCCATTGCATTCCATTGAGTTCCTTTCCATTCCATTCCATTCAATTCCAATCCATTCCATTCCTCTCTTTTGCATTCAATTCCATTCTATTCCATTCGATTCCATTCCATTCCATTCCATTCCTTTCCTTTCCTTTCCATTCCATTCCATTCCTTTCCATTCCATTCCATTCCTTTCCATTCCATTCCATTCCGTTCCGTTCCATTCCATTCCACTCCATTCCATTCCAATCTATTCCACACCACTCTGGGTGATTCAATTCCATTCTATTCCATTGCATTCCTTTCCATTATATTCCATTCCATTTCATTCCGTTCCATTCCATTCCATTCCATTGCAGTTGATTCAATTCCATTCTCTTCCATTCCATTCCATTCCATTTCATTCCATTCAATTCCATTCCATTCTAGCCATTCCATTGCACTCGGTTTGATTCATTTCCTTTCTATTCCATTCCATTCCATTCCATTGCATTCCTTTCCATTCCATTCCCTTCCAGTTTATTCAGTTCCATTCTATTCCATTCCATTCCATACCATTCCATTCCATTCCACTCGGGTTGGTTCGAATCCATTCTATTCCAATCCGTTCCCTTCCATTCCATTCCATTATATTCCATTCCATTACTTTCTGTTCTGTTCCATTCCATTTCATTCCATTTCGTTGCATTCCTTTCCATTCCACTCGGGTTGATTCAATTCCATTCTATTGCATTCCATTCCCCTCCATTCCATCCAT
>NT_187384.1:20204-51628 GCF_000001405.40 Homo sapiens
ATGGATGGAATGGAATCAACACGAATGGATAGGAATGGAATGGAATGGAATGGAATATAATAGCATGGAATGGAATAAACCCGAGTGGAATGGCATGGAATGGGATGGAATGGAATAGAATGGAATGGAATGGAATACAATCAATAACAGTGGAATGGAATAAAATGGAATGGAATGGATTGCAATGGAATGGAGTGGAATGGAATGGGATGATTTGAAATAGAATGGAATGGAACCAACCCAAGGGGAATGGAATGTAATTGATTGGAATGGAATGGAATTGAATGGAATGGAATGGAATGGAATGCAATGGAATGGAATGGATTGGAATGGAATGGAATGGAATGGAATCAACCGGAGTGGAATGGAATGGTATGGAATGCAATGGAATAGAATGGAATGGAATCAACCAGAGTGGAATGGAATGGAATGGAATGGTATGGAATGGAATCAACATGAGTGGAATGGAATGGAATGAAACGGAATGGAATGGAATAGAATGGAATTGAATCAGCGTGGGTGGAATGGAATGGAATGGAATGGAAACAATACTGGTAGAATGGAATGCAATGGAATGGAATGCCATAGAATGGAATGGAATAGAATGGAAAGCAATCAACCCCAGTGGAATGGAATGGAATGGAGTGGAATGGAATGGAATGGACTGAAATGGAATGGAATGGAATCATCCCGAGTGGAATGCAATGGAATGGAGTGGAACGGAATGGGGTAGAATGCAATCAACAAGAGTCGAATGTAATGTAATGTAATGGAATGGTATGGAACCAACCCTAGAGGAATGGAATGGAATGGAATGCAATGGAATGGAACGGAATAGATTTGAATCAACCCGAGTGGAATGGAATGGAATGGAATGGAATGGAATGGAATCAACCCGAGTGGAATAGAATGGAATGGAATGGAATGGAATGGAAAGGGACCAAACCGAGTTGAATGGAGTGGAATGGAATGGAATGGAATGGAATGGAAAGGAATGGAATCAACCCGAGTGGAATGGAATGGAATGGAAAGGAATTTAGTGGAGTGGAATGTAATGGAATGGATTTGAATACACCTGAGTGGAATGGAATGGAATGGAATGGAATGGAAAGGAATGGAAAGGAATGGAATGGAATGGAAAGGAACGGAATGGAATGGAATGGAGTGGAATGGAATGGAATGGAGGGGAACTAACCTGAGTGGAATGTAATGTAATGTAATGTAATGTAATGGAATGGAATGGAATGGATTGGAATTAACCTGAGATGAATGAAATGGAATGGAAAGGAATGGAATCAACCCGAGTGAAATGGAATGGAATGGAATGGAATGGAATGGAATGGAATGGAATGGAATCGAATCAACCCGAGTGGAATGGAATGGAATTGCATGGAATGGAATGGAATCAATAACAGTGGAATGGAATGGAACGGAATGGAATGGAAAGGAATGGAATGGAATGGAATGGAACGGAATTGAACGGAGTGGAATGGAAAGGAATGGAATAGAATGGAATGGAAGCAACTCCAGTGGAATGGAATGAAATGGAATGGAATAGAATGGACTGGAATGCAATAGAATGCAATCATCCCCTGTGGAATGGAATAGAATGGAATGGAGGGGAATGGAATGCAATGGAATCAATATCAGTTGAATGGAATGCAATGGAATGGAATGCAATGGAATGGAATGGAATGGAATGGAATAGAATGGAATGGAATCAACTCCAGTGGAATGAAATGGAATGGAATGGATTGGAATGGAATGAAATGAAATCATCCCGAGTGGAACGGAATGGAATGGAATGGAGTGGAATGGAATGGAATGGAATGCAATCAACCAAAGTGGAATGGAATGGAATGGAATGGAATGGAATGGAATGGAATGGAATGCAATCAACTGAGTGGAATGGAATGGAATGGAATGGATTGGAATGGAATGGAGTGAAATTCAGTGGAATGTAATGTGATGGAATGGAGTGTAATGGAATGGAATTGAATCATTCCGAGTGGAATGGAATGGAATATAACTGAATGGAATGGAATGGAATGGAAAGGAATGGAATGGAATGGAAAGGAGTCATCCCGAGTGGAATGGCATGGAATGGAATGGAATTGAATGGAATGGAAAGGATTGGAATGGAATGTAATTGAAGGGAATGGCATGGAATCAAGCCAAATGGAAAGGTATGGCATGGAATGGAATGGAATGGAATGGAATGGAATCAACCCAAGTGGAATGGAATGGAATGGAACGGAATGGAATGGAATGGAATGGAATGGAATAAACCCGAGTGGAATGGAATGGAATGGAATGGAATGGAATGGAATCAACCCGAGTGGAATATAATGGAATGGAATGGAATGGAATGGAATGGAATGGAATGGAATGGAATGGAATCAACCCGAATGGAATGGAATCAACCTGAGTGGAATGGAATGGAATGGAATGGAAACAACCTGAATGGAATGGCATGGAATGGAACGGAATGGAATGGAATGGAATTAACCAGAGTGGAATGGAATGGAATGGAATAGAATGGAATGGAACAGAATCAAACCGAGTTGAATGGAGTGGAATGGAATGGAACGGAATGGAATGGAATGGAAAGGAATGGAATCAACCCGAGTGGAATGGAATGGAAGGGAAAGGAATCGAATGGAGTAGTATGGAATGGAATGGATTTGAATACACCTGAGTGGAATGGAATGGAATGGAATGGAATGGAATGGAATGGAACGGAAAGAAAAGGAATGGAATGGAATCATGCCGAGTGGAATGTAATGTAATGTAATGGAATGGAATGGAAAGGAATGAAGTAGAATGGAAAGGAATGGAATGGAATGGAATGGAAAGGAATGGAGTGGAACCAACCTGAGTGGAAAGGAATGGAATGGAATGGAATGGAATGGTAATGAATGGAATGGAATGGAATGGAAAGGAACGGAATGGAATGGAATGGGATGGAATGGAATGGAATGGAGTGAAATCAACCTGAGTGGAATGGAATTGCATGGAATGGAATTTACCTGAGTGGAATGGAATGGAATGGAATGGAATTAACCCGAGTGGAATTGAATGGAATGGAATGGAAACAACCTGAATGGAATGGAATGGAATGGAACGGTATGGAATGGAATGGAATTAACCCGAGTGAAATGGAATGGAATGGAATGGAATGCAATGTAAAGAATGGAATGAAGTGGCATGGAATGGAATTGAATCAACCCGAGTGGAATGGAATGGAATGGAATGGAATGGAATGGAATAGAATGGAACGGAATCAAACTGAGTTGAATGGAGTGGAATGGAAAGGAATGGAATAGAATGGAATGGAATGGAATGGAAAGGAATGGAATCAACGCGAGTGGAATGGAATGGAATGGAATGGAAAGGAATGGAATGGAATGGAATGGAATGGATTTGAATACACCTGAGTGGAATGGAATGGAATGGAATGGAATGGAATGGAATGGGATGGAATGGAATGGTATGAAATTGAAGAGAATGAAATGGAACGGAATGGAATCATCTCGAGTGAAATGGAACGGAATGGAATGGAATGGAATGGAAAGGAATGGAATAGAATGGAAAGGAATGGAATGGAATGGATAGGAATGGAATGGAATGGAGTGGAACCTACCTGAGTGGAAAGTAATGGAATGGATTGGAATTAAACGGAGTGGAATGGAGTGGAATGGAATGAAATGGAATGGAATGGAAAGGAATGGAATCAACCTGAGTGCAATGGAATGGAATGGAATCAACCCGAGTGGAATGGAATGCAATGGCATGGAATGGAACGGAATGGAATGGAGTGAAATTCAGTGGAATGTAATGTGATGGAATGGAGTGTAATGGAATGGGATTGAATCATTCCGAGTGGAATGGAATGGAATATAACTGAATGGAATGGAATGGAATGGAAAGGAATGGAATGGAATGGAAAGGAGTCATCCCGAGTGGAATGGCATGGAATGGAATGGAATTGAATGGAATGGAAAGGAGTGGAATGGAATGGAATCAACCTGAGTGCAATGGAATGGAATGGAATCAACCCGAGTGGAATGGAATGCAATGGCATGGAATGGAACGGAATGGAATGGAATGGAATGGAGTGAAATTCAGTGGAATGTAATGTGATGGAATGGAGTGTAATGGAATGGAATTGAATCATTCCGAGTGGAATGGAATGGAATATAACTGAATGGAATGGAATGGAATGGAAAGGAATGGAATGGAATGGAAAGGAGTCATCCCGAGTGGAATGGCATGGAATGGAATGGAATTGAATGGAATGGAAAGGATTGGAATGGAATGTAATTGAAGGGAATGGCATGGAATCAAGCCAAATGGAAAGGTATGGCATGGAATGGAATGGAATGGAATGCAATATAACGGAAAGGAATCAACCCGAGTGGAATGGAATGGAATGGAATGGAATGGAATGGAATGGAATGGAATGGAATCAACCCCAGTGGAATGGAATGGAATGGAATGGAATGGAATGGAATGGAATGGAATGGAATGGAATGGAATGGAATGGAATGGAATCAACACGAGTGGAATGTAATGGAATGGAATGGAATGGAATTGAAAGGAATGAAATGGAATGGAATGCAATCAACACGATTTGAACGGAAAGGAATGGAATGGAATGGAATGGAATTGAAACATCCTGAGTGTAATGGAATGGAATGGAACTGAATGGAATGGAATGCAATGGAATGGAAAGTAATCATCCTGAGTGGAAGGGTAAGGAATGGAATGGAATGGAATGGAATGGAATGGAATGGAATGGAAAGGAATGGAATGGAATTGAATGGTAAGGAATCATCCCTAGTTTAAGGGAATGGAATGGAATGGTATTGAATGGAATGGAAAGTAATGGAATGGAATGGAATGGAATGGAAAGGAATGGAATGGAATGGAAAGGAATGGAATGGAATGGAATGGAATGGAATGGAATGGAATCAAACCAAGTGGAATGGAATGGAATGGAATGGAATGGAATGAAATGGAATGGAATGGATTGGAATGGAATTGAATGGAACGCAATGGTATAGAATGGAATGTAATCAACACGATTGGAATGGAATGGAATGGAATGCAATGGAATGGTATGCAAAGGAATGGAATTGAATCAACCTGATTTGAATGGAACGGAATGCAATAGAATGGAATGGAATGGAATGGAATCAAACCTGGTGGAATGGAATGGAATGGATTGGAAATGGAATGTAATGGAATCAACCCTAGTGCAATGGAATGGAATGGAAATGAATCATCCCGAGTGGAATTGAATGCAATGGAATGCAATTGAATGGAATGCGATGGAATGGAAATGAATGGAATGGAATGGAATGGAATGGAATGAAATTGAATGGAATGGAAAGGAATCAACCCTAGTGGAATGGAATGGAATGGAATGGACTGGAATTGAATGGAATGGAATGTAATAGAATAGAATGTAATCAACACGAGTGGAATGGAATGGAATGGTATGGAATGGAATGTTAAGGAATGGAATGGAATGGAATTGAATCAACCTGACTGGAATGTAATGTAATGGAATGGAATAGAATGGAATAGAATGGAAAGAAATGGAATCAATATGAGTAAAATGGATCGGAATGGAATAGAATGGAATGGAATGGATGGGAATGGAATGGAATCAAGCCGAATGGAATGGAATGGAAGGGAATGGAATGGAAGGCAATGGAATGGAATCAAGCCGAATAGAATAGAATGGAATGGACTGGAATGGAATGGAATCAACCCGAGTGGAATGGAATGGAATGGAATGGAATGGAATGGAATGGAATGGAATGGAATTTAATAGAATAGAATGGAATGAACCACAGTGGAATGGAATGGAATGGAATTTAATAGAATGGAATGCAATTGAATGGAATTTAATAGAATAGAATGGAATGAACCACAATGGAATTCACTGGACTGGAATGGAATGGAATGGATTGTATTGGAATTGAATGGAATACATTTTAATTGAATGTACTCGAAAACAGTGGAATGGAATGGAATGGAATGGAATGCAAGAGAGTGAAATGGATTCAATTCATATGGAATGGAATGGAATGGAATGGAGAGGAATGGAGTGGAATGGAATGGAATGGAATGGAATGGAATGGGTTGGAATGCATTTTAATTGAATGAACCTGAAAATAATGGAACGGATTTCAATGGAATGAAGTGGATTCGAATACAATATAATGGAATGGAATCAACTCGAGTGGAATGGAAAGGAATGGAATGGAATGGATTGGAATGGAATGGAATGGAAGGGAATGGACTGGAATGTAATACAATAGATGGGAATGGAATCTACTCGAGTGGAATGGAATGGAATGGAATGGAATGGAATGGAATGGATTGGAATGGAATGGAATGGAAGGGAATGGAATGGAATGGAATACAATAGATGGGAATGGAATCAACTCGAGTGGAATGGAATGGAATGGATTGGAATGGAATGAAATGGAAATGAGTGCAGTAGAATGGAATGGAATCAACTAGAGTGGAATGGAGTGGAATGGAATGGTATGGAATGGAATGGAATGGAATGGAAGGGAATGGACTGGAATGGAATACAATAGATGGGAATGGAATCAACTCGAGTGGAATGGAATGGAATGGATTGGAATGGAATGAAATGGAAATGAGTGCAGTAGAATGGAAGATAATCAACTAGAGTGGAATGGAGTGGAATGGAATGGTATGGAATGGAATGGAATGGAATGGAATGGAAAGGAATGGAATGGATTGGAATGGAATGGAATGAAATGGAATGGAATGGAATGGGATGATGTGGCCTCAAATGCAATAGAATGGAAGGGAATCAAATCGAGTAGAATGGAACGTAATGGAATGTAACGGCAATGAAAGAAATGGAATGCAATAGACTGCAAAGCAATCAACTAGAATGCAATGGAATTGAATTGAATGGAATGGAATGGAATGGAAAGCATTTGAATTGAAAGGACCCAAATAGTATGGAATGGCATGGAATTGAAAGGAAGAAAATGGCCTCGAATGCAATAGAATGGAATGGCATAAACTCGAGTGGAATGGAATGAAATGGAATGGAATGGAATGGAATGGAATATAACAGAATGGAATGGAATCAACTCGAGCTGAATGGAATGGAAGGGAATGGAATGGAAGGGAATGGAACTGAATGGAATGGAATAGCATGAAGTGGCCTCGAATGCAATAGAATGTAATGGAATCAACTCGAGTGGAAAGGAATCGAACGGAATGGAATGGAATGGAATGGAATCAAACCGAGTGGAATGGAATGGAATGGAATGGAATGGATTGGAATGGAATGGAATGAAATAGAAAGGAATGGAATGGAATGGAATCAAACCGATTGGAATGGAATGGAATGGAATGGAATGGAATGGAAAGGAATGGAATGGAATGGAATGGATTTGAAAGGAATGGAATGGAATGAAATGGAATGGAATGGAATGGAATCAACCCAATTGGAATGGAATCAAATGGAATGGAATGGAATGGAATGGAATGGAATGGAATGGAATGGAAGAGAATGTAATGGAATCAACCCGAGTGCAATGGAATGGAATGGAATGGAATGGAATGGAATGGAATGGAATCAACACGAGTGGAATGGAATGGAATGGAAAGGAGTGGAATGGAATGGAATGAAATGGAATGGAATGGTTTCACCCCGAGTGGAATGGAGTTGAATGGAATGGATTGGAATGGAATGGAATGGAATGGAATCAACCCGAGTGGAATGGAATGGAATGGAATGGAAGAGTTTGGAATGGAATGGAATGGAAAGGAATGGAATGGAATCGAACGGAATGGAATGGAATGGAATTTATTCGAATGGGATGGAATGCAATGGAATTTACTAGAATGCAATGGAATGGAATGGATTCGAATGGAAAGGAATGTACTAGAGTCGAGTTGAGTTGAATGGACTCGAATTCAATGGAATGGAATGGACTCGAATGGAGTGGAATGGACACGAATAGAGTGGAGTTGAATGTACTCGAATGGAATGCAATGGAATAGAATCCACAGAACGGAATGCAACAGAAAGGAGTGGACTGGAATGGAATGCAATGGAATAGAATGTAATGGAATGGAATTGAATGGAATGGACTCGAATGTCATGCAATGGAATGGACTTGAATGAATTGGAATGGAATCTATTTGAATGGAATAGAATAGAATGGACTACAATGGAAAGGAATGGAATGGATTGGAATGGAATGGAATGGATTTGAATAGATTGAATGCAATGGTATGGAATGGACATGAATGGAATGGAATGAAATGCACTCTAATGGAATGGAAAGGAATGCACTCGAATGGAAAGGAATGGAATGGAAAGGATTGGAATGGAATGGAAAGGAATGGAATGCACTCGAATTGTATGGAACGGAATTGAATGGACTCGCAAGGAATGGAATGGAATGGAATGGAACCAAAAGGAATGCAATTGAATGGACCTGTATGGAATGGAATGGAATGGAATGCGATGGAATCGAAAGGGATGGAATGTATTGGAATGGAATCGAATAGAATGGATAGGAATGGACCCGAATGGAATTGAATGGAATGGTCTCGAGTGCAATGGAATGGAATGTAATGGACATGAGTGGAATTTAATAGACTCAAATAGAATGGAAAGGAATGGACCAGAATTGAATGGAGTGGAATGGAATGGAATGGAATGGAATGGTATGGAATGGAATGGATTTGAATGGAATAGAAGGAACGGAATGAAATGGACTCGAAAAGATTGGAATGGACTGGACTCACATGGAATGGAACGGACATGAATGGAACGGAATGGAATGGAATGAACTCGAATGCAATACAATGGAATTAAATGTCATGGACTCTAATGGAATGGAATGGAATGGACTTAAATTGAATAGCATGGAAGAGACTAGAATGGAATGGAATGTAAGGGAATGGACTCAAATGGAATGGAACGTAATTGACTCAAATGGAATGGAATGGAATTAAATGGACTCGAAAGGATTGGGATAGAATACAGTGGAATGGACTCTAATGGAATGGAATGGAATGGACTCGAATGAAATGGAATGCAGTGGAATGGACTGAAATTGAATGGAATGGAATTGACAAGAAAGGAATTGAATGAAATGGACCTGAGTGGAATTGAATGGAATAGAATGGAATCGATTGGACTCGAATGGAATGGAATGGAATAGAATACACTGGGCTCAATTGGAATGGAATGGAAAAGAATGGAATGGAATAGAATGGACTGGAATGTAATGAGTTTCGAATGGACTGGATTGCAATGGAATGGAACGGAATGGAATGGAATGCAATTTACTCAAAAGGGATGGAATGGAATGGAATTTACTCGAATAGGATGGAATGGAATAAAATGGAATGGAATGGGATGGAAAGGAATGGAAGGAAATGGAATGCAATGGAATGGAATTTACTCGAACGGGATGGAATGGAATGGAATTTACTCAAATGGAATGGAATGGACTGAAATGGAATAGCATGGAATGGAATGGACACGAATACAATGGAATTGAATGGACTTGAATGGAACGGAATGGACTCGAATGGAGTGGAGTCAAATGGCCTCGAAAGGAATGCAGTGGAATTGAACCGATTGGAATGTACTTGAAAGGAATGGAACGGAATGCAATGGAACAGAACCGAATAGAATGGAATGAAACAGAACGGAATGTAATTGAATGGACTTCAAAGGAATGGAATGGAATGGAATGGAATGGAATGGAATGGAATGGAAAAGATTCAAATGTTATGCAATGTATTGGAATCGAATGAATTGGAATGGACTCTAGTTGGAGTGGAAAAGAATGGACTCCAATGGAATGGAGTGGAATGGATTGAAATGGAATGGAATGGAATTAAATGGATTTCAGTAGAATGGAAAGAAATGGTGTGGAATGGATACGAATGGAATGGAATGTGATGGAATGAAATGGACTCGAATGGAATTGAATGGAATGGACTCGAATGGAATGGAATGGAAATGAATGGATGGTACTTGAACTGTATGGAACGGAATAGAATGGACCCAAAAGGAATGGAATGGAATAGAATGGAATGGAATGGAGTGGAGTGGAATGGACTAGAATGGAATGGAAAGGAATGCACCTGAATGGAATGGAATGGAATCGTTTGGTATGGAAACGAATGGAATGGAATGCAATGGAATCAAATGATCTGGAATGTATTGGAATGGACTCAAATGGAATGGAATGGAATGGTCTCGAGTGGAATGGAATGGAATGAAATGGTCTCGAATGGAATGGAATGGACTCGAATGGAATGGAAACGAATGGAACCGAATGGAATGGAATGGTATGTAATAGAATCAAATGGATTTGAATGGAATAGAATGAATGGAATTGAATGGACTCAAAAGGATTCGAATGGAATGGACTCAAATGGAATGGAATGGTCATGAATGGAACGGAATGGAAAGGAATGAACCAGAATGGAACACAATGGATTTTAATGGAATGGACTCTAATGGAATAGAATGGAATGGACATGAATGCAATAGAATGGAAGAGACTCGAAAGGAACGGAAAGCAAAGGAATGGACTCAAATGGAATGGAATGCAATTGACTCAAATTTCATGGAATCGAATTGAGTGGACTCGAAAGGATTTGGATGGAATACAGTGGAATGGACTCGAATGGAATGGAATGGAATTGATTCAAATGCAATGGAATGCAACAGAATGGACTCAAATGGAATGGAATGGAATAGACACGAATGGAATCGAATGAAATGGACATGAATGGAATGGAATGGAATGCAATGGAATGGAATGGAATGAATTTACTTGAATGTGATGGAAGGGAATGGAATTTACTCGAACGGAATAGAATGGAATGGACTGAAATGGAAGAGCATTGAATGGAATGGACTTGAATGCAATGGAATGGAATGGACTCGAACGGAACGGAAAGGACTTGAATGGAGTGGAGTCGAGTGTCTTCGAATGGAATGCAATGGAATGGAATCGAATGGAATGAACTCGAATGGATTGGAATGGAACGGAATGGAAGGGAATGGCATGGAATGGAACCGAACGGGATGGACTTGAATTGAATGGAATGGACTGGAATGGAATGGAATGGAATGGACTCCAAGGTTATGCAATGGAATGGACTCTAATGAATAGGAATGGACTCTAGTTAAAAGGAATGGAATAGAATGGACTCCAATGGAAAGGAGTGAAATGGATTCGAATAGAATGGAATAGAATTGAATGGATTTGAATAGAAAGGAAAGTAATGGTATGGAATGGACACGAATGCAATGGAATGGAATGGAATGCAATGGACTCGAATGGAATGGAATGGAATGTACTGGAAAGGAATGGAATGGAACGGAATGGAATGGAATGCATTTGAATTGAATGGACCCAAAAAAAGTGGAGTGGAATGGAATGGAAAGAAATGGCATCGAATGGAATGAGACGGAATTGAACCGAAAGAAATAGCATGGACTCGAATGGAATGGAATGAAATGGAGAGGAATTAACTCAAGAGCAATGCAATTGAATGGAATGGATTCGAATGTAATGCAATGGAAAGGAATGGAGCCGAATGGAATGGAACGGAATGGAATGGATTGGAATGGAGAGGTACAGAATGGAATGGAACGTAATGGAAAGGAACGGAACTCAATGGACTGAAATGGAATGGAATAGATTTGAAGAAATGGATTGGAATGGCATGGAATGGAATGGACCCAAATGGAATGGAATGCACTCGAATGGAATGGAATGCAATGCAATGCACTCGAATGGAATAGAATGGAATGGAATGGAAGGGACTCGAATGAAATGGAATGGAATGGACTCGAAAGGAATGGAATTGACTCGAATGGGATGGAATGGAATCGAATGGACTCGAATGGAAAGGAATGGAGTGGAGTGGAAAGGAATGGAATGGGCTTCAATGGAATAGAAGGTAGTGGAATGGAAATTACTCGAATGAAATGGAATGGAAAGGACTCGAATGAAATGGAATGCACTCGAATGGAATGTAATTGATCAGAATAGACTCCAATGGAATGGAATGGATTGGACACAGTTTTAATGGAACATTATGGAATGGAACGGAATGGAGAAGAATGGAGTGGAATGGAATGGAATGCAATGGAATGGAATGGAATTGAATGTAATGGAATTGAAAGGAAAGGAATGGAATAGAATGGAATGGAATGGAATAGAAAGGAATAGAATGGAATGAAAGGGAATCCAATAGAATGGAATGGACTCCAAAGGAATGGAATAGAATGGAATGGAATGGAATGGAATGGAATGGAAAGGAATGTAATGGAATGGAATAGATAGGACTGGAAAGAAATTGAATGGAATGGAATGAAATGGAAGGGAATGGTCTCGATAAGAACGTAATGGAAAGGAATGGACCCGAATGGACTGAAACAGAAAGGACTTAAGTGGAATGGAATGGAATGGACACGAATGAAATGGAATGGAATAGACTATAATGGAAAGGAATGGATTGGAAAGGAAGGGAATGGAACGGACAAGAATGGAATGGAAAGGAATCGAATGGAATGGATTGGAATGGAATGGACTCAAATGGAATGGAATGGACTCCAGTGGAATGGAACGGAAAGAAATGGACTCGAATGGAATGGAGTGCAATATATTCAATTGGAATGGAATGGATTTGAATGGATTCTAGTCAAACCGAAAGTATTGGCATGGAATGGAATCGAATGGAATGTAATGGAATGGAATGAAATGGACTCGAACGGAATGGAATGGAATGAATTCGAATGGAATGGAATGGAATGGAGTAAAATGGAATGGACAGGAATGGTATGCAATGCAATTGAATGGACTCAAAAGGATTGCAAGGGAAAACAATGAAATGGAATGGAATGGACACATAAGGAATGTAATGGAATGAAATGTGCTGAAATGGAATGGAATGGAGTGGAATGGAAAAAAATGAAATAGAATGGACTCGAAGGGAATGCAGTTGAATTGAATGTACCCGAAAACAATGGAATGGAATGGAACGTTTTGGAAGGGAATGGAATGGAATGAAATGGAAAAGACTCGAATGGAATGGAATGGAATGGACTAGAATGAAATGGAATAGAATGGAATGGAATAGAATTGAATGGAGTGGAATCGACTCGAGTGGAATGGAATGGAATGGACTCGAATGAAATGGAATGCTGTGGAATGGACTCGAAGGGAATGCAATGGAATGGAATAGACTCGAATGGAATGGAATGGAATGAAATGGAATGATATGGAATGGACGGGAATGATATGGAATGTACGTGAATGAAATGGAATGAAATAGAATGGATTTGAATGGAATCATATGGAATGGAATGGAATGGAAAAGAATAAAACACTCAAATGAAATGGAATGGAATGGACTCAAAATGAATGGATTGGAATGCAATGGAATGGAATGGAATGGAATGAAATGCAAAGGACACAAATGAAATGGAATGAAATAGAATAGATTCGAATGGAATGGAATGGAATGGAATACAACGGACTCAAAGGGAATGGAATGTAATGGAATCGAAATGAATGTAATGGAATGGAATGGACCCGAAAAGAATGGAATGGAATGGAATGGAATGAAGTGCCCTCGAATGTTATGGAATGGATCGGAATGGACCCAAATGAAATGGAATGGACTCAAATGGAACGGCATAGAATGGAATCGACTCGAGTACAATGGAATGGAATGGAATGGATTCGAATGGAATGGAATGGACCTGAATGGAATGGAACAGAAGGGAACGGAATGGAATGGAACGGAACGGACTCGCATGGAATGGAATAGATTCGAATGGAATATAACGCAATAGATTCAAATGGAATGGAATACAATGGAATGGGCTCGATTGGAATGGAATAGAATGGACTTGAATGGAATTCAATGGACTCAAAAAAATGGAATGAAATGTAATGGAATGGAATCGAATAGAATGCAATGGAATTGATTAGAATGGAATTGAATGGTGTGATCACGAATGGAAGGGGTAGATTGGAATGGATTGGAGTTGAATAGAAATGAATGGATTGCACTCAAATGGAATGGAATGGAATGCAATCTAATGGAATTGAATGGAATGGATTCAAATGGAATAGCATGGACTGTAAAGGATTCGAAAGCAATGGAATGGAATGGACTCGAATGGAATAGTATGGACTCGAATGGAATAGAGTGGAGTAGACTCCAATGGAATGGAATGTAATTAAATGGACTCAAACAGAATCGAATGTAATGGAATGGAATGAACTCGAATGGAATGGAATGGAATAGAATGAAATGTACACGAATGGAATGGAATGGAATGGAATGGATCATACTGGAATGGAATGGAATGGAATGTACTGGAATGGAATGGAATGTACTGGAATGGAAAGGAATGCAATGTAATTGAATGGAATATACTGGAATGGAAAGGAATGCATTTGAATTGAATGGACCGAAAAAGATAGAATGGAATGGAATGGAATGGAATGGACTCGAATAGAATGGAAAGTATAAGAATGGAATAAACTAGAATGGAATGGAATGGAATGGAATGGAATGGAATGGAATGAAATGGACTCGAATAGAATGGAATGGAATGGAAAGCCCTGGAATGGAATGCAATTGAATGGAATGGAATGCATTTGAATTGAATGATCCCGAAAGAATGGAATGGAGTGGAATTAACTCGAATGGAATGGAATGGGATGGAATTAAAAGGATTCTAATGGAATGGAATGGAATGGAATGTACTGGAATGGAATGGAATGGAATAGAATGAATTTGAAATTAATGGATTCGAAAAGAATGGAATGGAATGGAATGGAAGGAAGTGTCCTCGAGTGGAGTGGATTGGATTGGAATGGACTCAATTAAAATGGAATGCAGTAGAATGGATTGGAATAGAATGGAATCGACTTGAGTGCAATGGATTGGAATGGAATTGATCCAAATGGAATGGAATGGACCCAAAATGAATGGAATGGAAAAGAATGGAATGGAATGGAACAGAATGGAATGGACTCACATGGAGTGGAATAGACTGGAGTGGAATAGAATGGAACAGACTCGAATGGAATGGAATGGAATGGAATGGAATGGACTCGAATGGAATGAAATAGAATGGACTCAAATGGAATTCAAAGGACTCAAAAGGAATGGAATGGAATGCAATGGAATGGAATCAAATGGAATGTAATGGAATTGACTCGAATGGAACTGAATGGAGTGGCCTCGAAAGGAAGGGGTGGAATGGAATGGACTGGAATTGAATCCAAAGGAATGGATTTGGCTCAAATGGAATGGAATGGAATGGATTCGAATGGAATTGAATGGAATGGATTCAATTGGAATAGCATGGAATGGAATGGACTCGAAAGCACTGGATTGGAATGGACTCCAAAGGAATAGATGGACTCGAACGCAATAGAGTGGAAAGGACCCAAATGGAATGAAATGGAATTGGACGTACTCGAATAGAATGGAATGTAGTGGAATGGAATCAACTTGAATGGAATGGAATGGAATGGAATGCAATGCATTTGAATTGAGTAGACCCAAAAACATGGAATGGAATGGAATGCAATGGAAACGAATGGAATGGATTTGAATGGAATGGACCTGAAAAGAATGGAATGTAACGGAATGGAATGAAGTGACCTCGAATGGAATTGAATGGATTGGAATGGACTCGAATGAAATGGAATGGACTCGAATGGAATGTAATAGAATGGAATCGACTCGAGTGCAATGGCATGGAATGGAATGGAGATGAATGGAATGGGATGGATTCGAGTGGAATGGAATGGAACGTTATGGAACGAAATGGAATGGAACGGAATGGATTCACATGGAATGGAATAGACTCGAATGGAATTTAACAGAATAGACTCGAATGGAATGGAAGGAAATGGATTGTTCTCCAATGGAGTGGAATAGAATGGACTCGAATGGAATTTAATGGACTCGAAAGGAATGGAATGGAATGCAATGGAATGGAGTCGAATGGATTGCAATGGAATTGACTCGAATGCAATTGAATGGAGTGGCCGCGAATGGAAGGGGTGGAAAGGAATGCAATGGAATTGATTGGAAAGGAAAGGATTGGGCTCAACTGGAATGGAATGGAATGGAATAGAATGGAATGGATTAGAATGTAATGGAATGGAATGGACTCAATTGGAATAGCATGGAATGGAAGGGACTCCAATGCAATGGAATGGAATGGACTCGAATTGAATGATATGGAATCGAACGGAATAAAGTGGAATGGATTCCAATGGAATGGAATGGAATTGAATGGACTCGAATAGAAAGGAATGCAGTGGAATGGAATGAACTTGAATGGAATGGAAAGCAATGTAATGAAATGGACTCGAATGGAATCGAATGCAATGTAATGTACTGGAAAGGAATGGAATGGAATGGAATTCAAATGAATTGAATGGAACCGAAAAGATGGAATGGAATGGATTGGAATGGACTGGAAGGAAATGGAATGGAATGGAATGGATTTGAATGGAATCAAGTGGCCTCGAATGGAATGAATGGATCACAGTGGATTCGAATGAAATGGAATGGACTCGAATGGAATGGAATAGAATGGAATACACTGGAGTGCAATGGAATTGAATGGATTCAAATGGACTGGAATGGATCCGAATGGAATGGAATAGAACGGAACGGAATGGAACAGAATGGACTCGCAAGTAATGGAAAAAAATCGAATCGAATAGACTCGAATGGAGTGGCATGCAATGGAATGGACTCTAATGGAATGGAATAGAAAGGACTCCAATTGAATGGATTGGAAAAGAATGGAATGGAAAGGACTCGAATAGGTGGAATGGAATGCAATGGAATGGAATGAAATGGAATGCAATGGATTTGAATGGAATGGACCACAAAAGAATGGAATGGAATGGAAGGGAAAATGTGGCCTCGAATGGAATGGAATGGATTGAAATGGACTCGAATGAAATGGAATTCACTTGAATGGAATGGAATACAATGGAATCGAATCGAATGCAATGGAATGGAATGGAATGTATTAGCATGCAATGGAATGGACCCAAATGGAAAGGAACGGAACAGAACGGATTGGAATGGAACAGAACGGAATGAACTCGCATGGAATGGAATAGATTCCAATGGAATAGAACGGAATGGACACGAATAGAATGGAATGCAATTCAATGGACTTGAATGGAATGGAATATAATGGACTCGAATGGAATTCAATGTACTCAAAGGAATGGAATGGAATGCAATGGAATGGAATCGAATGGAATGCAATGGAATAGACTCGAATGGAATTGAATGGATTGGCCACGAATGGAAGGGACTGCAACTGAAGGTAAAGGAATGGATTAGGATCAAATGAAATGGAATGGAATGGAACGGAATGGAATGGAATGGATTCGAATGGATTTCAATTGAATGGATTCAAATGGAATAGCATGGAACCGAATGTCCTCGAATGCAATGGAATGGAATGTACTCGAATGGAATGGTATGGAATCGAACGGAATAGAGAGTACTGGACTCCAATGGAATGGAATAGATTTGAATTCATTTGAATAGAATGGAATGTAACGGAATGAAATGAACTCGAATGGAATGGAATGGAATTGAATGGACCCGAAAAGAATGCAGCGGAATGGCATGGAATTAAGCGGCCTCGAATTGAATGCAATGGATCGGAATGGACACGAATGAAATGGAATGGACTCAATCGAATGGAAAGGAACGGAACGGAACAAAACGGAATGGAATTGATTTGAATGGAATGGACACGAAAAGAATGGAATGGAATGGCATGGAATGGAATGAAGTGGGGTCGAATGGAATGGAATTGATCGGAATGGACTCGAATGAAATGGAATGGTCGGAAATGGAATGGAATAGAATGGAATCGACTCAAGTGCAATGGAATGGAACGGAATGGATTTGAATAGAATGGAATGGACACGAATGGAATGGAACCGAATGGAAGGGAACAGAATGGAATGGAATGGAATGGACTCACATGGAATAGAATAGACTCAAACTGCATAGAACGGAATAGACTCGAATGGAATGGAATGCAATGGAATGGACTCAAATGGAATGGAGTAGAATGGACTCGAATGGAATTCAATGGACTCGAAAGGAATGGAATGGAATGCAATTCAAAGGAATCGAAAGGAATGGAATGGAATTGAATCAAATGGAATTGAATGGAGTGGCCACGAATGGAAGGGGTGGAATGGAATGGAATTGAATGGAAAGGAAAGGATTGGGCTCAAATGGAATGGATTGGAATGGAAATGAATGGACTCAAAAGGAATGGAATATAATGGGATGGAATGGACTCGGAATAAATGAAATGGAATGGAATGCAATGGACTCGAGTAGAATGGAGTGGACTCGAAAGCAATGGAATGGACTAGAAAGAATGGAATGGAATGTACCCGAATGGAATGGAGAGTACTGAATGGAATGGAATAGAATGGATTGGAGAGGAATGGAATAGAATGAAATGAAATAGACTCAAAAAGAATGGAATGGTATTGAATGGAATGGAATGGAATGGATTGCAATGGATTAGAATGGAATTGACTGCACTTCATTGGAGTGAATGGAATCAAAAGAATGGAATGTTATGGACCCAAATGGAATGGAATGGAATGGAGTGGAATGGAATAGAATGGAATGGAACAGACTGGAAGGGAATGTAGTGAAATGGACTCGAAAAGAGTGGAATGGAATATAATGGAATTGAATGGAATGGAATGGAATGGAATGGGCTTGAATGGAATGACATGGAATGGAATGGAATGGACTCGAATGAAATGGAAAGGAATGGACTCGAATGGAATAGAATGGACTCGAGAGGAATGGACTCGAGTGGAATGGAATGCAATGGAATGGAATGGAATGGAATGCAATGCAATCGACATGAATGGAATGGAATGGAGTGGAATGGATTGGAATGGAATGGACCCGAATGGAATGGAATGGAATGCAATGGAATGGAACGGAATGGAATGGAACACACTTGAATGGAATGGAATGGAATGGACATGAATGGAATGAAATGGAGTGGAACGGAACAAAACGGACTGGAATGGAATGGAATGGAATGGAATTGACTTAAATTCAATAGCATGGAATGGAATGGAATGGACTCGAATGGAATGAAATGGAATGTACTCGAATTGAATGGAATGGAATGGAAAGGAATAGAATGGAATAGAATGTAATATAATGGAATGGAATGGAATGGAATGGAATGGAATGGAATGGAATGCACCTGAAAAGAATGGAATGGAATGGAACGGAATGGAATGAAGTGGCCTCGAATGGAATGGAATGGAATGCATCGGAATGGACTCGAATGAAATCGAATGGACTCACTGGAATGGAATGGAACAGAACGGAAAGGAACGGAATGGAATAGAGTTGAATGAAATGGACCCTAAAAGAATGGAATGGAATGGGATTCAATGGAATGGAATGGAATGGAATGGAAAGGAACGGACTCAAATAATATGCAAAGGAATGGAATGCAATGAATTGGAATGGACTCTAGTTTAATGGAATGGAATATAATGGACTCCAATGGAAAGGAGCGGAATGGATTCGAATGGAAAGGAATGGAATTAAATGGATTCAAGCAGAACGGAATATAATGGTATGGAATGGACACGAATGGAATGGAATGTAATGGGATGAAATAGAATCGAGTGGAATGGAATGGAATGGGAAGGAATGGAATGTAGTGGACTCAAATGGAAGAGAATTGAATGGACTCGAAAAGAATACATTGGAATTTAGTGTAATGAACTCTAATGGAATGGAATGGAATGGAATGGAAAAATAGAATGGAATAGAATGGACTGGAATGAAATTAGTTTGCAATGGACTGGAGTGGAATGGAATGGAATGGAATGGTATGGACTTAAATGCAGTGGAATGCAATGAACTCGAATGGAATGGAATGGACTCAAACGAAATGGATTTGAATGGACTCGTATGGAATGGAATGGCATTGAACGGATTCGAATGGAATAGAATGTAACGGAATGGAATGAACCGGAATGGAATGGAATGTAATGGATTTAAATGTGCTGGAATGGAATGGGATGGAATGGAAGGGAATGGTATGGTATGGAATGGAATGGATTTGAATGGAGTAGAAGGAATGGCATGGAATCGGCTCGAGAGGATTGGAATGCAAGGGACTCGAATTGAAAGGAATGGAAACGAATGGAACGGAATGCAATGGAATGAACTCAAATGCAATACAATGGAATTTAAAGAAATGGATTTCAGTGGAATGGAATGGAATGGAATTGAATGGAATACAATGGAAGAGACTCGAATGGAATGGAATGCAATGGAATAGACTCAAATGGAATGGAATATAATTGACTCAAATGGAATGGAATGGAATTGAATGGACTCCAAAGGATTGGGATGGAATACAGTGGAATGGACTCGAATGCAATGGAATAGAATGGAATCAAACGCAATGGAATGCAGTGGAATGGACTCAAATGGAATGGAATGGAATTGACTCGAATGGAAATGAATGGACTGGAATGGAATTCAATGGAATGTACCCTAATGGAATGGAATGGAACGGAATTTACTCTAATGGGATAGAATGGAATGGAATTTACTCGAATGGAATGGAATGGAGTGGACTGAAGTGGAATAGCAGGGAATCAAATGGACTCGAATGCAATGGAAAGGAATGGACTCGAATGGAACTGAATTGACTCGAATGGAGTGGAGTCGAATGCACTCGAATAGACTCCAAATGAAAGCAATGGAATGGAACCGAATGGAATGTACTCGAATTGAATGGAACGGAATGGAAAGGAACAGAACCGAATGGAATGGAATGGAATGGAATGGAATGGAATGGAATGGTATAGAATGGACTGGAATGATATACAATGGAATGGACTCGAATAAATTGGAATGGACTCTAGTTGAATGGAATGGAATGGAATGGACTCGAATGGAAAAACGTGGAATGGATTCGAATGGAATGGAATGGAATTGAAAAGATTTGAATAGAATGGAATGTAATGTATGGAATGGACACGAATGGAGTGGAATGGAATGGAATGAAATGGACCCAAATGGAATGTAATGAGATTGGAATGGAATGGAAATGAATGGAATGGAATGGAATGGAATGGAATAGAATGGAATTTACTCGAATGGGTTGGAATGGAATGGAATTTACTCTAATGGAATGGAATGGACTGAAACAAAATAGCATGGAATGGAATGGGCTCGAATGCAATAGAATGAAATGGACTCTAATGGAATGGAATGGACTCGAATGGAGTGGAGTCAAATGGACTCGAATGGAATGCAATGGAATGGAACAGAATGGCATGTACTCGTATGGAATGGAACGGAATGGAACGGAACGGAACGGAAAGGACTTGAATGGAATGGAATGGAATTTAAAGGAATGGAGTCGAATAATATGCAATGGAATGGACTCAGATGAATAGGAATAGACTCTAGTTGAATGGAATGGAATAGAATGGAGTCCAAAGGAAAGGAGTGGAATGGATTTGAATGGAATGGAATGGAACTGAATGCATTTGAAAAGAAAGGAACGTAATGGAATGGAATGGACACGAGTGGAATGGAATGTAATGGAATGAAATGGTCTCGAAAGTAACGGAATGGAATGGACACGAATGGAATGGTGTAGAATGAAATGGAATTGAATGGAATGTACACAAATTATATGGAAGGGAAATGAATGGATTCGAATGGAATGGAATGGAACGGAATGGTATTGAATGGAATGGTATGGAATGAACTACAATGGAAGGGAATGGACTCGAATAGAATGGAATGTAATGGAAAAGGCTCGAGTGGAATGCAATGGAATAGAATGGCCTCGAATGCTATGGAATGGAAAGGAATCGACTCGATTGGAGTGGAATGTAATGGAACCGAAGGGAATGCAAAGGAAAGGAATGGAATGGACCCAAATTGAATGTAATGGAATCAAATGGAATGGAATCGAATGGGATGGAATGTATTGGAATGGAATCAAATGGAATGGATAGGAATGGATACGAATGGAATGGAATGGAATGGTCTCAAGAGGAATGGAAAGGAATGTAATGGACTTGAATGGAATGGGAATGGACTCGAATGGAATGGAAAGCAATGGACCCGAATGGAACAGATTGGAATGTTATGGTATGGAATGGAATGGAATGGATTTGAATGGAATAGAATGAATGGAATGGAATGGATTCATAATGTTTGGAATGGAAAGGACTCGAATGGAATGGAATGGACATGAATGGAACGGAAAGGAATGGAATGAACTCGATTTGAATACAGTGAAATTCTATGGAATGGACTCGAATGGAATGGAATAGAATGGAATGGAATGGAATATTATGGAAGAGACTGGAATGGAATGGAATGGAATGCAGTGGACTCAAATGGAAAGGAATGGAATTGACTCAAATGGAATGGAATGGAATTGAATGGACTCGAAAGTATTAGGACAGAATAAAGTGGAATGGACTCGAATGGAATGGAATGCAATGGACTCTAGTGCAATGGAATGCAAAGGAATGAACCCAAATTGAATGGAATGCAATTGACCCAAATGGAATTGAATTAAATGGAACTGAATGGAATGGAATGGAATGGATTGGAAAGGAATGGAATGGAATGGAATGGATTGGAAAGGAATGGAATGGAATGGACTCGAATAGAATGGAATGGACTTGGCTCAAATGGCATGGAATGTAATGGAATGGAAAAGAATGGAATAGAATAGAATGGACTGGAATGTAATGAGTTTGGAATGGAATGGAATGGATTCAAATGGAATAGCATGGAATGGAATTGACTCAAATGCAATGGAATGCAATGGACACGAATGGAATGGAATGGACTCAAATCGAATGGATATGAATGGACTCGTTTGGAATGGAATGGCATTGAATGTACTCGAATTGAATGTAATGTAATGGAAAGGAATGAACCCAAATGGAATGGAATGTAATGGAATGAAATGTGCTGGAATGTAATGTAATGGAATGGAATGGAATGCAATGGAATGGAACGGAACGGAATGGAATGCAATGGAATGGAACGGAATGGAATGGAATGCAATGGAGTGGAATGGAATGGAATTTACTCGAATGGCATGGAATGGAATGGAATTTATTCAAATGGAATGGAATGGAATGGACTGAAATAGAATAGCATGGAATGGAAAGGACTCGCATGCAATGTAATGGAATAGACTCGAATGGAATGGAATCGACTCAAATGTAGTGGAGTCGAATGGACTCGAATGGAATGCAATATATGGAACAGAATGGAATGTACTCAAATGTAATGTAATGGAATGGAATGGAACGGAACTTAACAGAATGGAATGGAAAGGAAAGGAACAGAATGGAATGGACTTAAATGGAATGGAATGGATAGGAATAGAATGGAATGGAATGGAATGGAACGGAATGGAATGGAACGGAAAGGAACGGAATAGAATGGAGCGGAATGGAATGGATATGAATGGAATGGAATGGAATGGAATAGACTCGAATAATTTGAAATGGAATGGACTTGAATGAATTGGAATGGACTGCAGTAGAATGGAATGGAATAGAATGGACTCCAATGAAAGGACTGGAATGGATTCGAATGGAATGGAATGGAATTGAATAGATTTCAATAGAACGGAATATAATGTTATGGAATGGACACTAATGGAATGGAATGTAATGGAATGAAATGGACTCGAATTGAATGGAATTGAATGGACTCAAATGGAATCGAATGGAATGGAAAGTACTCAAATAGTATGGAACGGAATTGAATGCACTAGAAAGGACTGGAATGGAATGGAAGGGACTCGAATGGAATGGAATGGAATGAACTCCAATGGAATGGAATGGACACCAATACAACGGAATGCAATGGAAAGCACTCAACTGGAATGGAATAGAATAGAATGGCCACGAATGGGATGGAATGGAATGGAATGGACTCAAATGGAATGGAATGGACTTGAAGGGAGTTGAGTCGAATGGACTAGAATGGAATGCAATTTAATGGAACCGAATGGAATGTATTCGAATGGAATGGAATGGAACGGAATGGAACGGAATGGAATGAAACTGAACGGACTGCATTGGAATGGAATGGAATTTACTTGAAAGTGATGGAATGGAATGGAATTTACTCGAATGGATTGAAATGGAATAGCATTGAATGGAATTGACTCAAATGCAATTTAATGGAATGGACTCGAATGGAATGGAATGGACTCGAATGGAGTGGAGTCGAATGGACTCCTATGGAATGCAATGGAATGGAACCGATTTGAATGTACTGGAATGGAATGGAATGGAAAGGAATGGAATGGAATGGAACAGAATGGAACGGAATGGAATGGACTGGAATGGAATGGAATGGAATGGAATTTACTCGAATGGGATGGAATGGAATGGAGGTTACTTGAATGGAATGGAATGAACTGAAAAGTAATAGAATGGAATGGAATGGACTCAAATGCAATGGAATGGAATGAACTCGAATGGAATGGAAAGGGCACGAATGGAGTGGAGTAGAATGGACTCGAATGGAATGCAATGGAATGGAACCGAATAGAATGTACTCAAAAGGAATGGAACGGAATGGAATTGAATGGAACAGAAGAAAACGGAAAGGAATGGAATGGACTCGAATGTAATGGAATGGAATGGAATGGACAGGAACGGAATCGAATGATATGCAATGGAACGGACTCGAATGAAATGGAATGGACTCTAGTTGAATGGAATGGAATAGAATGGATTCCAATGGAAAGAATTGGAATGGATTCGAATGGAATGGAATGGAAGTGAATGGATTTTAATAGAACGAAATGAAGTGGTATGGAATGGACAAGAATGGAAAGGAATGTAATGGAAACTAATGGACTCGAATGTAATGGAAAGGAACGGACTTAAACGGAATGGAATGGTATGCAATGGAATGGAAAGGAATGGAATGTACTCGAATTGTATGGAACAGAATTGAATGAACTAGAAAGGAATGGAATGGAATGGAATGGACTCAAATGGAATGGCATGGAATGAACTCCAATGTAATGGAATGGACTCGAACAGAATGGAATGGAATGGGAATGAATTGACTGGAATGTAATGGCTTCGAATGGGATAGAATGTAATGGAATGGACTCGAATGCAATGGATTGTAATGGAACCGAAAGGAATGGAATGGAACGGAATGGAATGGACCTGAATGGAATGGAATGGAATGAAATCGAATGGGATAGAATGTATTGGAATAGACTCGAATGGAATGGATAGGAAAAGACCCAAATGGAATGGAATGGAATGGTATAGAGTGGAATGGAATGCAATGGAATGGACTCAAACCGAATGGAATGGACTCGAATGGAATGGAAAGGAATGGACCCGAATGGAATGGAATGGAATGGAATGGAATGGAATGGAATGGAATGGAAGGGAATGGTATGGTATGGAATGGAATGCTTTTGAATGGAATATAATGAATGGAATAGAATGGACTCGAAAGGATTGGAATGAAATGGACTTGAATGGAACGGATTGGACATGAATGGAATGGAATGGAATGAACTCGAATGGACTACAATAGAATTTTATGGAATGGACTCTAATTTAATGGAATGGAATGGAATTGAATGGAATAGAATGGAAGAGACTCGAATGGAATGGAATAGAATGGAATGGACGCTAATGAAATGGAATGCAATTGATTCAAATGGAATGGAATGGACTCCAAAGGATTGGGATGGAATACAGTTAAATGGACTCGAATGGAATGAAATGGAAAGGACTCAAATGCAATGGAATGCATTGCAACGGACTCAAATGGAATGGAATGGAGTGGAATGGACTCGAATGGAATGGAATGTACTGGAGCCGAAAGGAATGGAATGCAATGGAATGGACCAAATATAATGGAATTGAATGGATTGGAATCTACTGGAATAGAATGGAATGGAATGCAATGGAATGGAATGAAATTTACTTTAATGGGATAGAATGGAATGGAATTTACTCTAATGGAATGGAATGGAATGGACTGAAATGGAATTCTATGGAATGGAATGGACTGAAATGCAATGGAATGGAATGGATTCGAAAGGAAAGTAATGGACTCGAATGGAGTGGAGTCGAGTTGACTCAAATGGAATGCAATGCAATGGAAGCGAATGGAATGTACTCGAATGGAATGAAACGGAATGGAAAGGAATGGAACGGAACAGAACGGAATGGAATGGACTCTGGAATGGAATGGAATGGAATGGAGTGGAATGGACTCGAATGGCATGCTATGGAATGGACTCAAATGAATTGGAATCGACTCTAGATGAATAGAATGGAAGGGATTGTAATGAAATGGAATGGAATGGAATGGAGTGGAATGGACACAAATGATACGCTATGGAATGGACTCGAATGAACTGGAATGTACTCTACTTGAATGGAATGGAATAGAATGGATTCCAATGGAAAGGATTGGAATGGATTCGAATGGAATGGAAAGGAATTGAATGGATTTGAATAGGATGAAATGTAATGGTATGGAATGGACACGAATGGAATGGAATGTAACGGAATGGAATGGAATGTACTCTAATTGTATGGAACAGAATTGAGTGGACACGAAAGGAATGGAAAGGAATGGAATGGACTCGAATGGAATGGAATGGACTCAAATAGAATGGAATGTAATGGAAAGGACTTGACTGGAATGCAATGGAATGGAATAGAATGGCTTCGAATGGGATGCTATGGAATGGAATGGAATGGACTCTAATGGAATGGGATGTAATGGAATCAAAAGGAAGGGAATGGATTGGAAGGGAATGGACCCGAATAGAATGGAATGGAATGGAATGGAATGGAATGGAATGGAATGGAATGGAGTGTACAGGAATGGACTCGAATGGAATGGATAGGAATGGACACGAATTGAATGGAATGGAATGGTCTCGAGTGGAATGGAATGGAATATAGTGGACTCAAATGGAGTGTAATGGACTCGAAGGGAATGGAAAGGAATCGACCCGAATGGAATGGAATGGAATGGAATGGAATGGAATGGAATGGAAATGAATGGCATGGTATGGAATGGAGTGGTTTTGAATGGAATAGAATGAATGGAATGGAATGGACTCGAAAGGATTGGAATGGAATGGACTCGAATGGAATGGAATGGAATGGACTGGAATATAATGGAATGGACATGAATGGAACATAATGGAATGGAATGAACACGAATGGAATAAAATGGAATTTAATGGAATGGACTCTTTTGAAATGGAATGGAGTGGACATGAATGGAATACAATGGAAAAGACTCCAATGGAATGGAATGCAATGGAATGGACTCAAATGGAGTGGCATGGAATTGACTCAAATGGAATGGAATGGAATTGAATGGACTCAAATGGAATGGAATGGAATTGACTCGTATGGAATTGAATGGAATGGACACGAATGGAATGGAATGGAATGGAATGGAATTTAATCAAATGGGGTGGAATGGAAAGGAATTTACTCGAATGGAAGGTAATGGATTGGAATGAAATGGAATACCATGGAATGCAATGGACTTCGATGCATGGAATGGAAGGAATGGACTAGAATGGAACGGAATGGACCCGAATGGAGTGGGGTAGAATGGATTCGAATGGAATGCAATGGAATGGAACCGAATGGAATGTACTCGAATGGAATGGACCGGATAGGATTGGAACGGAGTGGAATGGAACGGAACGAAACTAAACGGAATGGAATGGATTTGAACGGAATGGAATGGAATTGAATGGAATGGACTTGAATGATATGCAATGGAATGGACTCGAATGTATTGGAATGGACTCTAGTTGAATGGAATGGAATAGAATGGACTCCAACGGAAAGGATTGGAATATATTCGAATGTAATGGAATGGATTTGAATGGATTTGAATAGAACAGAATGTAACGGTATGGAATGGAGACGAATGGCATGGAAAGTAATGGAATTAATTGCAGTCGAAAGGAATGGAATGGAATGGACTTGAATGGAATGGAATGGAAAGGAATGGAATGGAATGGAAAGGATTGGAATGGAATGGACTCGAATAGTAAGGAAAGGAATTGAATGGATTCAAAATGAATGGAATGGAATGGAATGGACTTGAATGGAATGGAATGGAATGAACTCCAATGGAATGGAATGGAGTGGACTCGAATAGAATGGAATGGAATGGAGTGAAATGGAATCGCCTGGAATGGAATGCCATTGAACGGACTCGAAGGGAACGGAATATGTCGGAATGGAATAAACCCTAATGGAAGGGAATGTAATGGAATGAAATGTGCTGGAAAGCAATGGAATGGAATGGAATGGAATGGAATGGAATGGAATGGAATGGAATATATTTTACTCGAATGGGATGAAATGGAACTGAATGTACTCGAATGGAATGGAAGGGAATGGACTGAAATGGAATAGCATGGAATGGAATGGCCTCGAATGCAATGGAATGGAATGGACTCGAATGAAACGGAATGGACTCGAATAGATTGGATTCGAATGACTCGAATAGAATGCAATGGAATGGAATCAAATGGAATTTACTTGAATGGAATGAAACGGAATGGAATGAAACGGAACAGAACGGAACGGAATGGAATGGAACGGAATGGAATGGACTTGAATGGAATGGAATGGAATAGTATGGACTCAAATAATATGCAATGGAATGGACTCGACTGAACTGGAATGCACTCCAGTTGAATGGAATGGAATAGAATGGATTCCAATGGAAAGGAGTGGAATGGATTCGAATGGAATGGAACGGAAATGAATGTATTTGAATAGAACGGAATGTTATGGTATGGAATGGACATGAATGGAATGGAATGGAATGGAATGAAATGGACTCGAATGGAATGGAATGGAATGGACTCGAATGGAAAGGAATAAAATGGATTGGAATGGAATGGAATATACTCGAATTGTATGGAACGTAATTGAATGGACTCGAAAGGAATGGAATGGAATGGAATGGACTCGAATGGAATGGAATGGAATGAAATACAATGGAATGGAATGGACTTGAATAGATTGGAATGTAATGGAAAGGACTTGACTGGAATGTAATGGAATAGAATGGCCTCGAATGGGATGGAATGGAATGGAATGGACTCGAATGGAATGGATAGGAAGGGACCCGAATGGAATGGAATGGAATGGTCTCGTGTGGAATGCAATCAAATGTAATGGACTCGAATGGAATGGAATGGACTGGAATGGAATGGAAAGGAATGGACCCGAATGGAATGGAATGGTACAGAATGGAATGGAATGGATTTGAATGGAATAGAATGAGTGGAATGGAATGGACTCGAAAGCAGAGGAATGGAATGGACTCAAATAGAATGGAATGGACATGAATGGAACAGAATGAAGTGGAATGAATTGGAATGAAATGCAATGGAATTTATTGGAATGGACTCTAATGGAATTGAATGGAATGGACTAGAATGGTATAGAATGGAAGGGACTCGAATGTAATGGAATGCAATTGAATGGAATCAAATGGAATGGAATGGAACTGACTCACATGGAATGGAATAGAATTGAATGGACTCGAAAGGATTTGGATGGAATACAGTGCAACGGACTAGAATGGAATGGAATGGAATGCACTTGAATGCAATGGAATGGACTCAAATGGAATGGTATGCAATTGACTCGAATGAAATTGAATGGAATGGACCCGAATGGAATGGAATGGAATTCAATGGACTCAAAAGGAATCGAATGGAGTGCAAATGGAATGGAGTCAAATGGAATGCAATGGAATTGACTCGAATGGAATGGAATGGAATGGAGTGGCCACAAATGGAAAGGGTGGAATGGAATGGACTGGAATTGAATGGAAAGGAATAGATTGGGACCAAATGGAATGAAATTGAATGGAATTGAATGGACTTGAATCGAATGTAATGTAATGGAAAGGAATGGAGTCAAATGGAATGGAATGGAATCGAGTAGAATGGAATGGACTCAAAAAAATGGAATGGAATGGACCCGAATCGAATGGAAAGAATGTAGTAGAATAGAATAGATGGAATGGAGAGGGATGGAATTGAAAGAAATGAAATTGACTCAAAAGGATTGGAACGGTATTGAATGGAATGGAATGGAAAGCATTGGAATGGAATGGAATGGAATTGAACGGACTTGAATGGAATGAATGGAATTGAAAGGAATGGAATGGAAAGTACACGAATGGAATGGAATGGAATGGAGTTGAATGGAATAAAATGGAATGGAATAGACTCGAAGGCAATGTAGTGAAATGGATTCGAAAAGGGTTGAATGGTATTTAATGGAACTGAATGGAATGGAATGGACTCGAGTTGAATGGATTGTAATGGAATGGAATAGCATGGAATGGAATGGAATGGAATGGAAAGGACACGAATGGAATGGAATGGGGGGAGTGGAAGGGAGTGGAATGGAATGGACCCGAATGGAATGGAATGGAATTGAATGCAATGGAACGGAATGGAATGGAAAACACTTGAATGTAATGGAATGGAATGGACTCGAAATAAATGGAATGGAAAGGAAGGGAATGGAAGGGAATCGAATGAAATGGAATGGAATGGAATGAAATGGAATGGAATGGAATGGACCCAAACAGAATGGAATGGAAAGGAATGGAATGAAGTGGCCTCTAATGGAATGGAATGGATCGGAATGGACTCAAAAGAAATGGAATGGACTCAATGGAATGGAATGGAATGGAATGGACTTGAATGAAACAGCAAGAAATGGAATGGAACGGACTTGAATGAAATGGAATGGAATGGACTCGAATGGAATAGGATGGACTCGAGTGGAAAGGAATGGAATGGAATGAAAAGGACTTGAATGGAATGGAATGGAATGGAAAGGAATATAAAGGACTCGAATGGAATGGAGTGGAATAGAATGCAGTGGAATCCACCCGAAAAGAATGGATTTGAAAGGAATGGGATGAAGTGGCCTCGAATGGAATGGAATGGATTGGAATGGACTCGAATGAAATGGAATGGACTCAATGGAATTGAACGGAATGGAATGGAACGGAACGGAATGGAACAGAACGGAATGGAATTGATTTAAATGGATTGGACCCGAAAAGAATGCAATGGAATGGAGTGGAATGGAATGAAGTGGCCTCCAATGGAATTGAATGGATCGGAATGGACTCGAATGAAATGGAATGGACTCGAATGGAATGTAATAGAATGGAAT
>NT_187384.1:51648-54939 GCF_000001405.40 Homo sapiens
AAGGAATGGAATAGAATTGAATAGAAAGGAATGGAATAGGCTCAAATGGAATGGAATGGAAGGGAATTGAATGGACTCAACCCGAATGTAATGTAATGGAATGGAACGGACTCAGAAGGAATAGAATGGAATGGAATCGAGTAGAATGGAATTGAATCGAAAGGAAAGGAATAGAATGGACCCAAATGGAATGGACAGAATGGATTGGAATACAATAGAAAGGAATGAAGAGGAATAGAATAGAATGAAATGAAATGCACTCAAAAGGAATGGAATAGTATTGAATGGAATGGAATGGAATGCAATTGAATGGACTTGATTGGAATGAATTTAATCGAAATGAATGGAAGGGAACGTACCTGAATGCAATGGAATGGAACGGAGTGGAAAGGAATGGAATGGAATGGAAAAGACTGGAAGGGAATGTAATGAAACGGACTTGAAAAGAGTGGAATAGAGTGGAATGGAATGGAATGGAATGGAATGGAATGGAATGGACTTGAATGGAATAGCATGGAATGAAATGGAATGGAATTGAATGAAATGGAATGGAATCGACTGGAATAGAATGGAATGGAATGGAATGGAATGGACACGAATGGAACGGAATTATTTGAATGGGGTGGAATGGAATGGATCCAAATGGAATGGAACGGAATGGAATGGAATGGAATGGAATGGAACGCACTCGAAAGGAATGGAATGGAATGGACACCAATGGAATGAAATAGAGTGGAATTGAATTAAATGGAGTGGAATGGAATGGAATGGAATGGACTTGAATGGAATAGCATGGAATAGAATGGAATAGACTTGAATGAAATGGACTGGAATGAACACGAATGGAATAGGATGGATTCGAGTGGAAAGGAATGGAATGGACTAGAATGGAATAGACTCGAATTGAATGGAATGGAATGGAATGGAATGAAAAGGACTTGAATGGAATGGAATCGTGTGAAATGGAATGGAATGGACCCAAAAAGAATGGAATGGAATGGAATGGAATGGAATGGAATGGAATGGAATGAAGTAGCCTCGAATGTAATGGAATGGGTCCGAATGGACTCTAATTAATGGAATGGACTCAATGTAATGAAATAGAATGGAATGGAACGGAACAGAAGGGAATGGAATTTAATGGATCACAATGGAATGGAACCGAAAGGAATAGAATGGAATGGTATGGAATGAAGTGGCCTCGAATAGAATGGAATGTATTGGAATGGACTCAAATGAAATGGAATGGACTTGAATGGAGTGGAACAGAATGGAATTGATTCGAGTGCAATGGAATGGAATGGAAAGGATTCGAATGGAAAGGAATGGAGCCGAATGGAATGGAACGGAACAGTACGGATCGGAATGGAACGGAACGGAATGGACTCGCATTCAATGGAAAAGACTCGAATGGAATAGAAAGGAATAGACTCGAATGGAATGGAATGGAATTGAATGAACTCGAATGGAATATACCAGAATAGACTCAAATGGAATGAAATGAAATGGAAAGGACATGATATGAACGGAATAGAATGCACTGTAATGGAATTCAATGGACTTGAAAGGAATGGAATGGAATGCAAAGGAATGGAATCGAATGGAAAGCAATGGAGTTGACTTGATTGGAATTTAATGGATTGGCCACGAGTGGAACGCGTGAAATGGAATGCTCTGGAATGGAATGGAAAGGAATGGATAGGGCTCAAATGGAATGGAATGGAATGGAATTGAATGGAATCGAATCGAATGATATGTAATGGAATGGAATGGACTCTAATGGAATGGAGTAGAATGAACTCGAGTAGAATGGAATGGACTCGAAGGAATGGAATGGAATGGAATGGAACCAAATTGTTTGGAGAGAATGGAGTGGAATGGAATGGAGAGGAATGGAATAGAATGAAATGGAGTGGACTCAAAAGGAATGGTATGGTATTGAATGGAAAGCAAAGGAATGGAATGGATTGCAATGGGATGGAATTGAATGGACTTGAATACAATGAATGGAATCGAAAGTGATGGAATGGACCCGAAAGGAATAGAATGGAATGGAGTGGAATGGAATAGAATGGAATGGTATAGACTCGAAGGGAATGTAATGAAATGGACTCGAAAAGAGAGGAATTGAATGGAATGGAATGGAATGGACTTGGTTGGAATAGCATGGAATTTAATGGAATGAACTTGAATGAAATGGAATGGAATGGACTCAAATGGAATTGAATGGACTCGAATGGAATGGAATGGAATGGAATGGAATGGACTAGAATGATATGCAAAGGAATGGACTCGAATGAATTGGAATGGACTCTAGTTGAGTGGACTGGAATAGAATGGACTCCAAAGGAAAGGAGTGGAAAGGATTCGAATGCAATTGAATGGAATGGAATTGATTTGAATAGAATGGAATGAAATGGTATGGAATTGACACGAATTGAATGGAATGTAATGGAATGAAATCGACTCGAATGGAATGGAATGGACTCGAATAGAATGGACTCGAACGGAATGGAATGGAATGGAATAGAATTTACTCGATTTGAATGGAAAGTAAAAGAATGGACTTGAAAGGAAAGGAGTCGAATGGAATATAATCGAATGGAATGGAGTGGAATGGAATGGAATGGAATGGACTGGAATAGAATGGAATGCATTGGAAAGGACTTGAATGGAATGGAATGGAATAGAATGGCCTCGAATGGGATGGAATGGAATGGAATGGACGCGAATTGAATGGAATGTAATGGAACCGAAAGGAATGGAATGTAATGGTCCCGAATGGAATGGAATGGGATGGAATGCAATGGAATTGAATTGAATGGAATGGAATATATTGGAATGGACTCGAACGGAATGGATAGGAATGGACACGAATGGAGTGGAATGGAATGGAATGGTCTCAAGTGGAATGGAATGGAATGGAATGGAATGGACTCGAATGGAATGGAATGGACTCGAATGGAATGGAAAGCTATGGACACCAATGGAATGGAATGGAATGGAATGGAATGAAATGGAATGGAATGGAATGGAATGAAATGGAATGGAATGGAATGGAATGGAATGGAATGAAATGGAATGGAATGGAATGGAATGGAATGGAATGGTATGGTATGGAATGGAATGGATTTGAATGGAGTTGAATTAACAGAATGGAATGGAATCAAAAGTATTGGAATGGAATGAAGTCGAATGGAATGGAATGGACATGAATGGAACGGAATGGAATGGAAAGAACACGAAAGGAATACAAGGGAATTTAATGGAATGGACTCTAATGGAATGAAA
>NT_187384.1:54959-57391 GCF_000001405.40 Homo sapiens
AATCGAATGGTATGTAATGGAATGGAATGGACTCTAATGGAATGGAGTAGAATGAACTCGAGTAGAATGGAATGGACTCGAAGGAATGGAATGGAATGGAATGGAACCAAATTGTTTGGAGAGAATGGAGTGGAATGGAATGGAGAGGAATGGAATAGAATGAAATGGAGTGGACTCAAAAGGAATGGTATGGTATTGAATGGAAAGCAAAGGAATGGAATGGATTGCAATGGGATGGAATTGAATGGACTTGAATACAATGAATGGAATCGAAAGTGATGGAATGGACCTGAAAGGAATAGAATGGAATGGAGTGGAATGGAATAGAATGGAATGGTATAGACTCGAAGGGAATGTAATGAAATGGACTCGAAAAGAGAGGAATTGAATGGAATGGAATGGAATGGACTTGGTTGGAATAGCATGGAATTTAATGGAATGAACTTGAATGAAATGGAATGGAATGGACTCAAATGGAATTGAATGGACTCGAATGGAATGGAATGGAATGGAATGGAATGGACTAGAATGATATGCAAAGGAATGGACTCGAATGAATTGGAATGGACTCTAGTTGAGTGGACTGGAATAGAATGGACTCCAAAGGAAAGGAGTGGAAAGGATTCGAATGCAATTGAATGGAATGGAATTGATTTGAATAGAATGGAATGAAATGGTATGGAATTGACACGAATTGAATGGAATGTAATGGAATGAAATCGACTCGAATGGAATGGAATGGACTCGAATAGAATGGACTCGAACGGAATGGAATGGAATGGAATAGAATTTACTCGATTTGAATGGAAAGTAAAAGAATGGACTTGAAAGGAAAGGAGTCGAATGGAATATAATCGAATGGAATGGAGTGGAATGGAATGGAATGGAATGGACTGGAATAGAATGGAATGCATTGGAAAGGACTTGAATGGAATGGAATGGAATAGAATGGCCTCGAATGGGATGGAATGGAATGGAATGGACGCGAATTGAATGGAATGTAATGGAACCGAAAGGAATGGAATGTAATGGTCCCGAATGGAATGGAATGGGATGGAATGCAATGGAATTGAATTGAATGGAATGGAATATATTGGAATGGACTCGAACGGAATGGATAGGAATGGACACGAATGGAGTGGAATGGAATGGAATGGTCTCAAGTGGAATGGAATGGAATGGAATGGAATGGACTCGAATGGAATGGAATGGACTCGAATGGAATGGAAAGCTATGGACACCAATGGAATGGAATGGAATGGAATGGAATGGAATGGAATGGAATGGAATGGTATGGTATGGAATGGAATGGATTTGAATGGAGTTGAATTAACAGAATGGAATGGAATCAAAAGTATTGGAATGGAATGAAGTCGAATGGAATGGAATGGACATGAATGGAACGGAATGGAATGGAAAGAACACGAAAGGAATACAAGGGAATTTAATGGAATGGACTCTAATGGAATGAAATGGAATGGACTTGAATGGAATATAATGGAAGATATTAGAATGGAATAGAATGCAATGGAATGGACTCAAATGGAAGGGAATGGAATTGACTCAAATGGAATGGAATGGAATTGAATGGACTCGACATCATTAGGATGGAATACAGTGGAATGGACTCGAATGGAATGGTATGGAATGGACTCGAATGCAATGGAATGTACTCAAATGGAATGCTATGGAATTGACTCGAGTGGAATGGAATAGAATGGAATGGACACGAATGGTATGGAATGGAATGGTCTGGAATGGAATGGAATGGAATGGAATGGGCTAAAATGGAATGGAATGGAACGGAAAAGGATGGAATGGAATGGAATGTACTGGAATGAAATAAGTTTGGAATGGAATGGAATGGAATGGAATGGACTCAAATGGAAAAGCATGGAATGGAATGAACTCAAATGAAATGGAATGGAATGGACGCGAATGGAATGGAATGGAATGGAATGGATTTGAATGGTCTCTTAAGGAATGGAACGGCATTGAATCGACTCGAAGGGAATAGAATGTAACGGAATGGAATGAACCGGAATGGAATGGAATGGAATGCAATGGAATGGAATGGAATGCAATGGAATGGAATGGAATGCAATGGAATGGAATGGAATGCAATGGATTGGAACGGAATGCAATGGATTGGAACTTAATATAATGTAATGGAATGGAATGGAATATACTCGAATGGGATGGAATGGAATGGAATTTACTCGAAGTGAATGGATTGGAATGGACTGTAATGGAATAGCATGGAATGGAATGGACTCGAATGCAATAGAATGGAATGGACTCGAATGGAATGGAATGGACTCGAATGGAGTGGAGTAGAATGGACTCGTATGGAATGCAATGAAATGAACCGAATGGAATGCACTCGAATGGAATGGAAGGGAATGGAATGGAACGGAATGGACTTGAATGGA
>NT_187384.1:57411-102096 GCF_000001405.40 Homo sapiens
TGAAGTGGAATGGAATGGAATTGAATGGTCTCAAAAGGATTGGGATGGAATAGAGTGGAATGTAATTGAATGTAATGGAATGGAATGGAATGGAATGGAAACGAATCAATGGAATGCAATGGAATGGACTCAAATGGAATGGAATGGAATTGACTCAAATGGAGTTGAATGGAATGGATCCGAATGGAATGGAATGGAATGGACTCAAATGGAATGGAATGTAATTGAGTCAAATGCAATTGAATGGAATGGACCCGAATGGAATGGAATTGAACGGAATGGAAGGAATGAAATGGAATGGAATGGTATGGAATGGACTCGAATGGAATGGAGTGGAATGGAATGGACTGGGCTCAAATGGAATGGAATGGAAAATAATGGAATGGAATAGAATGGACAGGAATGTAATGAGTTTGGTGTGGACTGGAATGGAATGGAATTTAACCAAATGGAATGGAATTGACTCAAATGGAATAGCATGGAATGGAACATACTCAAATGCAATGGAATCGAGTGGACTTGAATGGAATGGATTTGAATGGATTCTTATGGAATTGAATGGCATTGTATGGACTGGAATGGAATGGCATGGCATATAATGGAATGAAATGTGATGGAATGGAATGGAATCGAATGGAATTTACTCGAATGTGATGGAATGGAACAGAATTTACTCGAATCGAATGGAATGGACTGAAATGGAATAGCATGGAATAGAGTGGACTCGAATGCAATGGAATGGAATGGTCTCGAATGCATCGGAATGGACTCGATTGGAGTGCAGTCTTATGGTCTCGAATGGAATGCAATGGAATGGAACCAAATGGAATATACTGGAATAGAATGGTACAGAAAGGAATGGAACAGAACGGAAGGGAACGGAATGGAAAGGAACGGATTGGAATGGACTTTAATGGAATGGAATGGAATCAAATCGAATGGAATGGAATGGACTCGAACGATATGCAAAACAATGGAATCGAATAAATTGGAATGGACTCTAGTTGAATGCAATGGAATAGAATGGACTCCAAAGGAAAGAGGTGGAATGGATTCGAATGGAATGGAATTGAATTGAATGGATTTGTGTAGAATGGAATGTAATTGTATGGAATGCACACGAATGGAATGGAATGCAATGGAATGGAAAGGAGAGGATTGGAATGGAATGGAATGGAATGGACTGGAATGTACTCGAATTGTATGGAAAGGAATTGAATGGAGTTGAAAGGAATGGAATGGAATGGAATAGACTTGAATGGAATGGAATGGAATGAACTCCAATGGAATGGAATGGACTCGATTGGAATGGAATGGAATAGAATCGCCTCGAACAGGATGGAATGGAATGGAATGGACTCGAATGGAACGGAATGCAATGGAACCGAAAGGAATGGAATGCAATGGAATATAATGGACTCTAATGCAATGGAATGGAAAGGAATGCAATGGAATCGAATGGGATGGAACTTATTGGAATGGACTCGAATGGAATGGATAGGAATTGACCCAAATGGAATGGAATGGAGTGGTGTCGAGTGGAATGGAATAGAATGTAATGGACCCGAATGGAATGGAATGGACTGGAATGGAATGGAATGGAAGGGACTAGAATGGAAAGGAATGGAATGGAATGGACTCAAATGGAATGGAAAGCAATGGACCCGAAAGGAATGGAATGGAATTGAATGGTATGGTATGGAATGGAAAGGATTTCAATGGAATAGAAAGGAATGGACCCGAATGGAATGGAATGGAATGGAATGGAATGGAATGGAGTGGAATGGATTGGAATGGAATGGAATGGAATGGATTGGAATGGAATGGAATGGAATGGTATGGTATGGAATGGAATGAATTTGAATGGAATAGAATGAATGGAATGGAATTTACTCGAAAGGATTGGAAAGGAATGGACGTGAAAGGAATGCAAAGGACATGAATGGAATGGAATGGAATGGAATGGAATGAATTCGAATGGAATACAATGGAATTTTATGGAATGGACTCTAGTGGAATGGAATGGAATGGACTTGAATGGAATAAAATGGAAGAGACTCGAATGGAATGGAATGCAATGGAATGGACTCAAACGGAATGGAAATGAATTGACTCAAACGGAATGGAATGGAATTGAATGGACTCAAATGGATTGGGATGGAATACAGTGGAATGGACTCAAATGGAATTAAATGGAATGGACTCAAATGCAGTGGAATGCAATGGAATGGACTCAAATTGAATGGAATGGAATTGAATGGAATGGACAAGAATGGAATGGCATGGCATGGAATGGAAAGGAATGGAATGGAATGGAATGGAATGGAATGGATTCAAATCGAATGGAATAGAATGGACTCGAATGGAATGGAATGGAATGGAATGGACTGGGCTCAAATTGAATGGAATGGAATGGAATGGAAAAGAATTTAATAGAAGAGAATGCACTGGAATGTAATGCGTTTGGAATGGAATGGAATGGAATATAATGGACTCAAATGGAATAGCATATAATGGAATGGACTCAAATGCAATGGAATGGAATGGACTCGAATGGAATGGAATGGACTCGAATGGAATGGATTTGAATGGACTCGTATGGAATGGAATGGCATTGAATGGAATGGAATGGAATGGAATTTACTCGAATGGGACGGATTGGAACGGAATTTACTCGAATGGAATGGAGTTGAATGGACTGAAATGGAATAGCATTGAATGGAATGGACTTGAATGCAATGGAAAGGAATGGACTCGAATGGAACGGAATCGACTCGAATTGAGTGGAGTCGAATGGACTCGAATGGAATGCAATGGAATGGAACCGAATGGAATGTTCTTGAATGGAATGGAACGGAATGGAATGGAACAGAACGGAATGGAATGGAACGTAACAGAACGGTATGGAATGGACTTGAATGGAATGGAATGGAATGGACCCGAATGATATGCAATGGTATGGACTCGAATAAGTTGGAATGGACTCTAGTTGAATGGAATGGAATAGAATGGACTCCAATGGAAAGGAGTGGAATGGATTCGAATTTAATGGAATGGAATGGAATGGATGTGAATAGAACGGAATATAATGGTATGGAATGGACACGAATGGAATGGAATATACTGGAACGAACCGGCCTCGAATGGAATGGAATGGACTGGAATGGAATGGAATGGAATTTACTCGAATGGGATAGAATGGAATGGAATTTACTCGAATGGAATGGAATGGAATGGACTGAAATGGAATAGCATGGAATGGAATGGACTCGAATTCAATGGAATGGAATTTACTCGAATGGAACGGAATGGACTCAAATGGAGTGGAGTCAAATGCACTCGCATGGAATGCAATGGAATGATTCCATTCGAGTCCATTCGATGATTCCATTTGTGTCCATTCCATAATTCCATTTGAGTCCATTCGATGATTCTTTTGATTCCGTCCAATGATATTCCATTCGAGTCCGTTTGGTGATTCCATTTAATTCTATTCAAAGATGATTCCATTCGTGTCTCGTCGGTGATTCCATTCGATTTCATTCGATGATGATTCCTTTCGAGTCCATTCGATGATTCCATTTGAGTCCATGCAATGATCAAATTCAAGTCCATTTGATGATTCCTTTCAATTTCACTTGATATTTCCATTCGAGTAAATTCGATGATTCCATTTCATTCCATTCGATGATGATTCCTTTTGAGTCCATTCGATGATTCTATTTCAATCCATTTGATGATTGCTTTTGATTATACTTGATGAAGATTCCATTTGATTCAATTCGATGATGATTCCATTCGAGTCCATTCGATGATTCTATTCGAATCCATTTGATGATTGCTTTTGATTATACTTGATGAAGATTCCATTTGATTCCATTCGATGATGATTCCATTCGAATCCCTTTGATGATTCCATTTGATTCCGTTCTCTTATGAGTACATTCGAGTGCAATTGATGATTCCTCTCAATTCCATACGATGATGATTCCATTCAATTCCATTCGATGATTCCATTCTATTGCATGCAATAATGATTCCCTTCAAGTAAATTAGATTATTCCATTCAATTCCATTTGATGATTATTCTATTCGTGCCCATTAGATTATTCCACACGATTCCATTCGATAAGGATTCTATTCGAGTCCATTCGATGATTCCATTTGATTCCATTCGAGGATGATTCCATTCAATTCCATTCATTGGTAATTGCATTCAATTCCATTCATTGATTCCATTCCATTCCATTCGCCAATGATTCCATTCTATGATTCCACTTGATTCCACTTGATGATGATTCCATTTGATTCCATTCGATGATTCCATTTGATTCCATTTGATGATGATTGCTTCGATTCCATTTGACGATTCCATTCGATTCCATTGGATGATGATTCTGTTCGATTTCATTTGATGACTCCATTCAATTCCATTGGATGATGATTCCGTTCGATTTCATTTGATGATTCCATTTGATTTCTATTGAGGATTCCATTCGATTCCATTCGATGATTATTCCATTTGAGTCCATTCGATGATTTCATTCGAGTCCATTCAATGATTCAATTTGAGTCCATTTGATGATTCCATTCGATTCCATTTGATGATGATTCCATTTGATGATGATTCCATTAGAGTCAGTTCGATGACTCCATTTGAGTCCATTCGATAATTCCATTCGAGTCCATTCGATGATTCCATTCGATTCCATTTGATGATTCCATTCGATTCAATTTGATGATTCCATTCGTGTCCGTTTTATCATTACTTTCGTGTCCATTCGGTGATTCCATTGGATTACTTTTGATGATGTTCCCATTCGATTCCATTTGATGATGATCCCATTCGATTCCATTCGTTGATGATTCCATTTGAGTCCATTCAGTGTTTCCATTTGATTCCATTCAATGATGA
This sequence comes from Homo sapiens, assembly GCF_000001405.40. Taxonomy (NCBI): domain Eukaryota; kingdom Metazoa; phylum Chordata; class Mammalia; order Primates; family Hominidae; genus Homo; species Homo sapiens. The sequence goes on from NT_187384.1 coordinate 62,327, forward strand.
TTCTATTCGTGTCCTTTTGATGATTCCATTCGAGTCCCTTCATTGATTCCATCTGATTCCATTTGATGATGATTCCATTCGAGTCCATTCGATGATTGCATTTGATTTCATTTGTTGATTCATTTGGAGTCTATTTGATTATTCCATTCGAGTCCATTCGATGATTCCATTCCATTCCATTCGATAATAATTCCATTCGAGTCCATTCGATGATGATTCCATTCGTTTCCATTCGATGATTCGCTTCGATTCCATTCGATGATTCCCTTTGATTCCTTTCCATGATGATGCCATTCCATTCCATTCGATGATTCCATTCGATTCTATTCCATGATGATTCCTTTTGATTCCATTCGCTGATGATTCCATTGGATTCCATTCAGTGGGGGATTCCATTCAATTCCATTCAATGATGACTGCATTCAGTTCCATTCGATGATGATTCGAATGGATTCCATTTGATTTCTCCATTCGATTACATTCATTGATGATTCCATTCGCTCCCAATACATTATTATTCCATTAGATTCCATTAGATGATGATTTCATTCGATACCATTCGATGACGACTCCATTCCATCCCATTCAATGATGATTCCATTCGATTCCATTCAATGATTCCATTCGATTCCATTCGATGATTATTCCATTTGAGTTAATTCAATGACTCCATTCGATATCATTCGATGATGATTTCATTCGAGTCCATTCATTGATTCCAGTCCAGTCCATTTGATGATTCCTTTCAATTCTTTTCAATGATGATTACATTCTAGTCAATTCAATGATTCCATTTAATTCCATTCGTTGATGATTCCATTCGAGTGCATTCGATGATTCCATTTGATTTCATTTGCTGACGATGTCATTCGTTTGCATTTGATGATTCCATTCTATTCCATTTGATGATGATTCCATTCGAGTCCATTCGATGATTCCATTTGATTCCATTCGATGATGATTCCACTTAAGTCCATTCGATGACTCCATTCGTGTCCATTCTGTGATTCCGTTAGATTCCACTCGATGATGATTCCATTTGATGCCATTCAATGATTCCATTCGATTCCATTCAAGGATGATTCCACTCATGTCCATTCGATAATTGCATTTGATTCCATTTGATGATGATTCAATTCGTGTCCATTCCATGATTCCATTCAATTCCATTTGATCATGATTCCCTTAGAATGCATTCGATGATTCCATTCAATTACCATCAATGATTCTGTTCGATCCCATTCTATGATTCCCTTTGATTCCATTCGATGATCATTCCATTCGATTTAATTCAGTGATTCCTTTGGATTCCATTTGATGTTGATTCCATTAGATTCAATTCGATGATGATTCCATTCTATTTCATTTGATTATGATTCCATTTGATTCAATTCAATGATGACTCCATTCAGTTCTATTTCATGATGATTCTATTTGGTTCCATTCGATGATGATTCCATTAGATTCCATTCGATGATTCGTTTCGATGATTCCATTCAATTACATTTGTTGATGATTCCATTCGATGATGATTCCATTTGATTCCATTCAATGATGATTCCATTCTATTTCATTCGATAATGATTCTATTTGATTCCATTAGATGATGATTCCATTCGATTCCATTCCATGATGATTCCATTCGAGTCCATTTGATGGTTCCATTCGATTCCATTTGATGATAATTCCATTCGAGTCCATTCGATGGTTCCATTCGATTCCATTCAAAGATGAGTCCATTCTATTACATTTGATGATTCCATTTGATTGCATTCAATGATGATTCCATTAATTCCATTTGATGATGATTCCATTCAATTCCATTCGATGATGATTCCATTTGGTTTCATTCGATGATTCTATTTGTTTCCATTCTATGATGATTCCCTTCTATTCCATTCGATGACTCCATTCGATTCCATTTGATGATGATTCTATTCGATTCCATTTGATGTTGATTCTATTTGATTCCTTTCAATGATGATTCCGTTCGTGTCCATTCGATGATTCCATTCAATTCCATTCAATGATGATTGCATTCGAGTCCATTCGATGATAGCATTTCAGTCCATTCAATTATTCCATTCGATTCCATTGAAAGTTGATTCAATTCTAGTCCATTTGATAATTCCATTCGATTCCATTCTCCGATGATTCCTCTCGATTGCATTCAATGATTCCATTCAATTCCAGTTGATGATGATTCCATTCGATTCCATTCCCTGATGATTGCATTCTTTTCCATTCGATGATTCCCTTCGTTTCCATTCAAAGTTGATTACATTCGAGTCCATTTGATGATTCCATTCGATTCCATTTGATGATGAGTCCACTTAAGTCCATTCAATGATTCCATTCGTGTCCATTCTATGTTTCCGTTAGATTCCATTCGATGATGATTCCATTTGATGCCATTCGATGATTCCATTCGATTCCATTCAAGGATGATTCCACTCGTGTCCATTCGATGATTGCATTCGATTCCATTTGATGATGATTCAATTCGTGTCCATTCCATGATTCCATTCAATTCCATTCGATGATGATTCCCTTTGAATCCATTCGATGATTCCATTGAATTACCATCAATGATTCCGTTTGATCCCATTCTATGATTCCCTTCGATTCCATTCAATGATCATTCCATTCAATTTAATTCAGTGATTCCTTTGGATTCCATTCAATGTTGATTTCATTAGATTCAATTCGATTATGATTCCATTCGAAGATGATTCCATTTGATTCCATTGGATGATGATTCCATTCTATTTCATTCTATAATGATACTATTTGATTCCATTAGATGATGATTCCATTCGATTCCATTCCATGATGATTCCATTCGAGTCCATTCGATGGTTCCATTCAATTCCATTCGGTGATAATTCCATTCGTGTCCATTCAATGATTCCATTCAATTCCATACGATGATGATTGCATTTGAGTCCATTCGATGATAGCATTCGAGTCCATTCGATTATTCCATTCGATTCCATTGAAAGTTGATTAATTTCTAGTCCATTTGATAATTGCATTTGATTCCATTCTTCGATGATTCCTCTCGAGTGCATTCAATGATTCCATTCAATTCCAGTCGATGATGATTCCATTCCATTCCATTCCCTGATGATTGCATTCATTTCCATTCGATGATTCCCTTCGATTCCATTCAAAGTTGATTCCATTCGAGTCCATTCGTTTATTCCATTCAATTCCATTCTCCGATGATTTCATTCGAGTCCATTCGATGATTCCATTCAATTCCAGTTGATTATGATTCCATTCGATTCCATTCAATATTTCCATTGGAGTCCGTTCAATGATGATTCCATTTTATTCCATTTGATGATTCCATTAGATTCCATTTGATGATTATTGCTTTTGTGTGCATTCGATGATTCCATTCGAGTCCATTCGATGATTCCATTTGATTCCATTCGATGATGACTGCATTAAGTTCCATTCGATGATGATTCCAACAGATTCCATTTGGTGACTCCATTCGATTCCATTCATTGATGATTCCATTCAATTCCATTCGATGATGATTCCATTCGATTCAATTTGATGATGATTCCATTCGATTCCATTCGATGATGATTCCATTTGATTTCATTCGATGATTCTATTTGATTCCATTCTATGATTCCCTTCTATTCCATTTGATGACTCCATTGAATTCCATTTGATGATGATTCTATTCAATTCCATTTGATGATGATTCTATTTGATTCCATTCAATGCTGATTCCATTCGTGTCCATTAGATGATTCCATTCAATTCCATTTGATGATGATTCCATTCGAGTCCATTCGATGATTCCATTTTATTTCATTCGATGATGATTCTGTTCAATTACATTCGATGATTCCATTCTGTTCCATTCGATGATGATTCCATTTGAGTCAAATCGATGATTCCATTCGAGTCCATTTAATGATTCCATTGGGTTCTATTCGATGATGATTACATTTTATTCCATTCGATGATTCCATTTGTTTCCATTCATTGATGATTCCATTCGACTCCTTTTAATGATGATTCCTTTCGATTTCATTCGTTGATGATTCCATTCATTTCCATTAGATGACGATTCCATTTGATTCCATTTGTTGATTATTTCATTCGATTCCATTCAATGATGACTCAATTCCATTTCATTTGACGATTCTATTTGATTCCATTCGGTGATAATTCAATTCTATTGCATTCGAGGATTCCATTCAATTCCATTCGATGTTGATTCCATTCAATTCCATTCGATGATGATTCCATTCGATTGCAATCAATGATGATTCCATTTGTGTCCATTCGAATATTCCGTTCAATTCCATTTGATGATGGTTCCATTGGTGTCCATTCGATGATTCCATTCCATTCCATTCAATGATGATTCTATTCAATTCCATTCGATGATGATTCCCTTCGTTTCCATTTAATGATGATTCCGTTTGATTGCATTCAATCATTCTATTTGATTCCATTCGAAGATGAGTCCATTCTATTCCATTCGATGATTTCATTCGATTCCATTCAATGATGATTCTATTCGATTACATTTGATGATGATTCCATTCGATTCCATTCAATGATGATTCCATTCGATTCCATTTGATGATGATTCCATTCACTTCCATTTGATGATGATTCCATTCGAATCCATTAGATGATTCCATTTGATTCCACTTGATGATGGTTCCACTCAAGCCCATTTGATTATTCCATTCGAGTCCATTAGAAGATTCCATTAGATTCCATTCGATGATGATTCCATTCGATGCCATTCGATGATTCCGTTCAATTCCATTCAATGATGATTCCATTCGTGTTCATTCGGTGATTCCGTTGGTTTCCATTTAATGATGATTCCATTCAAGTCCATTCCATGATTCCATTCAATTCCATTCGCTGATGATTCCATCCGAATGCATTCGATGATTCTATTTGATTCCCTTCGATGATTCCGTTTGATCCCATCCGATGATTCCCTTTGAATCCATTCGATGATCTTTCCATTCGATTCAATACAATGATTCCGTTTTATTCCATTCGATGATGATTCCATTCGATTCCATTCAATGATGATTCCATTCGATTCCATTCGATCAAGAGTCCATTTTATTCCATTTGATGATTACTCTGTTCAGTTCCATTTAATGATGATTCCATTCTGTTCCGTTTGATGATGATTCCTTTAGATTCCATTCGATGATTCCATTCGATTACATTTGTTGATGATTGCATTCGATTCCATTCAATGATGATTCCATTCGATTACATTTGATGATGGTTACATTAGATTCCATTTGATGATGATTCCATTCGATTCCATTCAATGATGATTCCATTCAATTCCATTCGATGATGATTCCATTCGCTTCCATTCAATGATGATTCCATTTGATTCCATTCAATGATGATTCCTTTCGAGTCCATTCAATGATGATTCCATTCAAGTCCATTGCATGATGATGCCTTTTGATTCCATTCGATGGTGACTCCATTCGATTCCATTTGATGATGATTCCGTATGATTCCATTCGATGATAATTCCATTCTATTCCATTTGATGATGATTCCATTCCATTCCAGTCAATGATGATTCCATTCGATTCCCTTCAATGATGATTCCATTCGATTCCATTCGATGTTGATTCCATTTGCTTCCATTCAATGATGATTCCATTTGATTCCATTCGATGATTACTCTTTTCGAGTCCTTTCGATGATGATTCCATTCAAGTCCATTGCATGATGATGCCTTTCGATTCCTTTCTATGATGACTCCATTTGATTCCATTCGATCATGATTCCGTTTGATTCCATTGGATGATAATTCCATTCTATTCCATTCGATGATGATTCCATTCCATTCCATTCCATTCCATTCCACTACATTCCATTACATCCGATTCCATTCCACTCCATTCCACTCCTCTTCTCTCCACTCCACTCCATTGCATTCCATTCCATTCTATTCCACTGCTTTCCATTCCATTCCTTTCTTTCAAGAGTGTCTCACTCTGTCACCCATCCTGTAGCACAATGGCACAATCTCATCTCCCATTCCATTCCTCTCCATTCAATTCCATTCAATTGCATTCCATTCCATTCTATTCCATTCCATTCGAAAAAGAAAAAGAGTTGCAAAGTCATACTCACTTTTCTGCTCTTGTCAGACAATTAAGCGTTCTTTGAATACTTCAGCCCTAATAATTTTCTTTTTATCATACATATTGCAGTGCTTATCTAATTTTAAATATATTTTTGTTTCAAAACCCAGTTTCTTATTTGTTTTATCTGTATGTTTGCAATATATTTTACTCTCTGTTCATTCTTTGATTTCAGAACTTCAACCTTTCTGAAGCCCATTTTCAGAGTTTCTCTGTAGTTTCTTCAGTGGAATTCTGCTGGAGGCGTTTTGTTTTTTAACTCTAAATGTGTTATTTAGCCATAGGTTGATGAATATTTTTCTTCGTTTAGAAATTCAGAATGGCATTATTATTCTTAAAAAATAATATTGTTTATTTTACCTTTCATTTTTTTCAGATTTCAATATGATTAAAAGAAATTTCATTTTTCTAGTGCTAATTGAAATATTTTTCCCTTCCTCGTTGTTTACTGTTTCTCTAGGAGATACATAGGTGTAGGTTTATCTCCATTGTAGCTTGCTTAGCAAGCATGGAATTTCTGAATATGCAGATTAGTGTCTTACAAAAGTCTACGGAAATTTCAGCCAAAATACCATCACATATTGTCCCTTCCCAGTTCCCTTCTTCTATGAGAGCACTCTCTAAACACTTGCTACACTTTCTCACTGTATCTTCCATGTCTCTTCATCATTCTGTCCACATTTTACATTTTTAAAAATTTTCTGTAATGCATTCTGAAATATTTATGAACTCTCACCTTGGCCATGTCTAATCTGATGAGTACATTTTTGAGTTTTTAATTTAAAATAACTATATTTTTATACAAACTACTTTTCAAATTTGCTACATGAAATTTTTACTCTTCTAACAATATATTCATTTTTTAAAAATATTTGAAAGCAAATGTGCTTTATAATCTAACAGTGATATTTCTACAAATGAACCTTTGTGGATCTGTTTATACTCTTTTTCTGCTTTCCTTTCAAATGGTGGAATATCATTTTCTTGCATACTTAGATGCCTTTGAATGACAAATATTTATTTTTCTCTGAAAATTATTTTTGTGCCCTTTTGCAGATTAGTAAATAGAAAATTGCCAAAGAGAATTTGAATTTTTTTCTGATTCTACTAAAGGCACCACCTTTCTGGGACCACATTATGTTAATTCTTGGCCTAAAGGTGTTCAGACCTATGTTTGGACTGCACATTTAAACAATTTTAAATTAGTTGCTGTAAATCATAAACGATTGAGTTTCTTTAAATCTGTCCAATCTCAAGTCATTTTTATTTGCCATTTCCAGGGAATGTGAAATGGGACTAATTTTCCTCTAATTCTTCTTTATACTGAGGATATAAATTTTGGTCCTAGCTTTAGGGAGGAGCTCCTGTGTGATGCCCTATCTTGGGAAAAACTATGTATTTCTTTACTGTCCTATGTGATGTATGACAGTAGGAATCTGTACTCATTCATTTTGCTACATGTCTGTAGGGCAAAATCGGTTTCGGTGTTTAGTTATATTTCGTCTGCTCCCTGCATTCCAATGGTTTTGACCTTATAATTTACTTTTAGTTGTGAACATACCAGTGCTTCAAATTTTTTCCAGTAATATATTCAACTATATTATGAGAAAGAGAAAAATTTTGATAAAACACAAATTTCATGTTTTCCTTCTCTAATTGGCTTTTACTTAAAAATACAGGTAAAATTTATTTCTGCTTTTTTGCTATTTCTGTTTTGCTATTCTCTGTTTGTCTATGTCTTCTCCACATAGACACAATTAGGGAATTTTGTACACGTTTGTGCCAACTGCTTTGATAGTAACAAAATGTATTTCTTGAAATCCTAGGTATAAAACTCAAGTATCCACAATTTAAATTCTTTTTTGCTCACTTCTATTATGTTTCCAGTCTCAATAGAAATCGATGCCAATCCAGAAATACAAGCACTATTCTAATACTTCTCACACATTACAGGTATAGATTAAATTTTCTAGATCTCCTTAAATACAATCATTTTTAACTACTTGTATCTTAACTGTTAAGTTCAGCATTTTCTATAATAATAAGTTGTGAAAATTTTCTTACTTTCTTATTTGTCCCAAGTTCAAGGTTTTGCAGTCTCTACCTCACCCTGTGAAGCATAAACATTGTACTATGTTGTACAAATATTACATAGTTCATGTGCTTAGAGATTGCACAATTTTTATTTGGTTGACAATAGCTAATGTTTTCTTCTTCATTTTCTATTTCCTGATTTTTCTTTATTTAGTATATGCTACATTATCATAAAAATAAGAACGTTTTACAAACTAAAGCAAAAGAAACGCTAGGAAAAAAAATGCACAAGTAAAATAAATAAACATTCATTTAGATGTACCATGTACAATTCTAATTTATTTAGAATTTTAATTGCAGTACTATTTTAATTAAATTCTGTGTATTATCTGTCATCGTCTCAGTATTTTTTATATAACAAATTGTGTTATTCAAAAAGTCTCAATGTCATTATGAACTATCTTGGCAGAGGTTGATCTCCAAGGAATAATTTCTCTCCTAATTATGTCAATCAGAATTTCACTCTACCATAATTCTTTTAAGCAGTTTCAGAGGAATCATAAATTTCAAAATTGTTCAAGGTAGTTGTTGTAGTTCAAGTACATTTAGACAGGTGTAAAACTGTAGACAGACTGATGCAAACATATTCTAATTGACACAAAAGTATATGGGACCTATTTTAAAATCTAGACTTTAAAATGTCGTGTCAACATACACATGTTCTCCTTGTGAAATATTTGCTTTTTATTCTCTGGATAGAATAATTTTATCTTTAAACCTTCAATTCACTGTTAAAAACAAAATATTACATAAGGATATGCTTATAAAAATAATTCCCAACTAGCTTTTCAATTCAGAAATATACGTGAAAAATAATCAAGCATCTAATGGATTTCAAGGAGAAATGGGTTAGTAAATTTTTCCATATGTCTCAATTTTTGCTAGATTCAAGGCTTCCTTTAAAGCAATTGTAGGCATTTAAAAAACGATGTAAACTAAAAAGAAGAAATTGTGACACTGCCACTTAGGTTTTTTAAATCTTTGGACATGAATCAATATACTTTTTAATTTTATCTTAATTAGACATTGTGAGTTCACTATCTTCCTGTCAGTATAGCATCCAAGCTGATTATCATAGATTACAAGTTCAACTATCAACTATGTTCTGAGAGTCTAAAACAATAAATGAATGTATTTGTTTGGGTATTCTTAAAGCAGGAGTGAGGACACAGCGAAAGTGAGACAAGGAAGAGAGAACAAAATAAAACAGGAAAGATAGAAAAGCCAGTACCACACGTGTTAAGAGGCAAGTTCCTGTGTTAGATATCTAGGCTTAATTTTATGGGAAGCTATGTGGAACATGCCTCAGAATTACATCACTGAATCCAGGGAGATTCTTCTTAGTTACCCTCACCTTTTCTTCCCACTTCATGCCCAGTATCAAGCTCCCGTGCTGCTAGAGAAAGTCCTCAGCTAGAAACTGCTGCAAATTCTGGAGATGAGACCCTGTAGAGTGTTAAGAATGGTTTTCTTCCCAGCAGCTACAGGTAAGGAATAGGGGCTGGGCTATTAATACATCTGCTACAAATCAATATACCCCTTATGCTCCTTTTGGTGATTGACAATGTACTTAAAATATTAGATAATCAAGAAGGGCTGCAGAAAGGAGGAAAAAGAAACAAACAGCACATCTCTCGGTTTATTTTTATTCATTTCATCAGTTTCAAGGAAAATGTGTTGGGAGTTCCTGGCATAGAGAATGTCACAAAGATATGTTTTCAATAGTGGTGCTATCCCTAGAGCAGAGAAGATCCAGAGAAAGCCCCAGTGGCTGCTGGAACAAAGTCAGACACCGTGCCACCTGTCCACACTCCTTGGCTCTGCCATCATGCTGAAGATTGGTTTAAAGGGCTGGCTTCCCTCTTCGTAAAATTAAAAGAGCACAAACTGAGAAACTGAATGTGGGAGACAGCAGTGGATTATGATGTTCTCGGGGGTCACCTCAGGTTTGGAAGCAAAATTAACCCATCTCAGGCCATCTGCAGAGAAGAAAGGTGGTACCTAACTTTTTTTCTTGTCAGCACTTGGTAGGGGCGTTTTATTGACGAAATATGTTCCCACAACCTAGTTTTTTGTAACTAACTAAATATAGTAGATTTTTAAATTTTATTATCAAAATCTAAAGACAATTTTTGATTAAAATAGACTCCACATCTATGTCCTGCTTTTCTTCTTATTAATTACATTGCTGTATAAAAGAACAAGACTTCAGAATCAAGAATATCTTGTCTCTTGACATTGAATTTATACAAGGTGCTCTTTCTTTAATGCTGTCTCAAAGGACATATTTTTACTCATTAAAAAGGAAGATTGGAATCTAGTTGTATGCACTGCTCCAACATATTAATAATTAAAATTAAGATGTAAATGTGGTCAAAGCTATAGAAAGACTTGGGATGTAATTTATATTGATTACTGTATAGCACTTTACAAACAGAAATTGTGAAATAATAGTGTATATAAATATTTTGTAGCATTTCAAATATTTGAGTGCCTGAAGTTTCTCCTCTTATATAGTTCAGATTATCAATTTGAAGACTTACTACGCTGGTTAAAAAGTTTTTAGTCTCGTTTGAGTATTATGTAAAAGCAATTTTCAGTTAAATGTGTTCCGCTTACATAAAATGTTACAAATTAGTGAGTATTTAATTACATTTTCCTGTTCCTGTAATGCCTTTAGAAGATTTTCATATTATTACCTATCAATATATGTATGCTTTGTCTAAGAAAAATCAATCATATACATCACTGAAATTGAAACTTTTTAAAAGTACTTATTAATTCTATGGAAAAACCACATCCATAGGAGCAATTACAATATAATATTGTGAACATGTAAATATATATCCTATGTGTATTTTATATATAAGCATATGTGATTAAAAATATAGTTAAGAATTTTTAAACCTAGTATTATAAAGTAAAAATTAGTTAAACTTCTGATGATTATTTGTTAATTAAGATAAAATTATTTTGATTTGGGTGATTTAAAATGAACAAAAATATTAAATTACATGACAAAAATTCTTTATAAAATGTTTACGATTTTTACATTGGTTTTATCACTTTATTCCACTATTTTATTTTAAGATGACCTGCCTTGTTTAAAACACTGTATTCATCTTAATTAAATTAAATTCCATTTGTAAAAAAGTTAACAAATGATTTGCTCTATTATACAGTGCACTTATAAACTGAGTCAGTATCTCAAGATTTCATCCCCATTATCGTCATCCGTGGCCTTATTTGTTTGACAAATGTAGTGTCTTTTTCCTTGCCTGTCACATCTCTATTGCTCTTTCATTTTTCTCCTTGTCCCTTATAGGGAGCATTGCCTATCTCTAGATTAAGCAAAAGTTGCATCTTAAAAAAGCAAAATAAGCTGCTCAATCTTTCTCACACAGAGAAATGTTTGTTAAGTAATTAAAGTGTAGATGATGATACAAAGAGCTTGATTAAATAAAATGCCAAAATACCCTTGTGATTCAGAATATGAATGGTATTTAATGCCTTTGAAATCAATAATTGCTGAGTGACATTAATTAATGCCAATATTCCAGAAGATGTTCTGGTTAGTGAAATGTGTACAACATGTAAAAATTTCCGAACTCTGAAGGGCAACATTATTCTATAATTAAGAATTAAGAATTAATTCACATTAATTATTGGGGAGAAATAATTTTAAGAATTAATGACTGAGAAAACGTTTTTATTTTTATTTAGAAAATTATTTTGTGCATGAGCATTACTGCAAGTTTTGCAAGAAACATAAATTTATAGAAACAATTATGTGCACAAGATGAATTTAATAACATCTTGATATTTTCCACTATTACAGTCGTATTTGGTAAATCTTTAAATGCCCATCATCTAAAGATCATAAATGAATCTTGGAAATCTTGTAGGTAAGGGTAAATATAAGGATGAATCCAATTACATTTACACACACATACAATTACATTTACACAAACATACATGCACACACGCTCACTGATACAGGTATGCATACATATACATGAATTTACCAACTGATTTTAATTAATATTTATAAGAACCTGTAGGATTGATATATATTGTTGAACCTGAAAAATATTTATTATATACATGTTTAAAATACACAAAGAAATAAATAGTAATTGCACTAGGCATTTGAAGCTGTACTTAAATATAAGCTGTGATCATTACAAATTCTTACACTAAATAAATGTTTTTATTTTTATAATAATATGTTTGTTACATGTGTACTTTTTAAAAAATGTATTATTTTTGTCATAGGGTCATGTCATGCATAATATTATTTCAGTCAAAGATGGATTACATATACAAAAGTGGTCCCATGAGATTATAATACATATTTTTACATACTTTTCTATGTTTAAGTATGTTTACATACATAAACTCTTACCACTGTGTTCTTATTGCCTGCAGTATTCAGTATAGTAGTGTAGTACACAGGTTTGTAGCCTAGGAGAGAGAGGTTATACCATATAACCTAAACGTGGTAGGCTGTACAAACTAGGTGTTTGTAATATTCTCTCTGACGTTTGCAAAATGATGAAATTGCCTATGGATGCATCTGTTAGAACGTATCCCTAACATTCAGTGATGTGTGACTGTACTAAAATGCTCAATCTAAGTTTCAATGACCTACATATAATTGTTGTACTGTGAAATACAAATCTCTCACCTATGGCCTGAATATGTTTGCAAATTAAGCAGATCATGGGAAGGAGAATGTGCTGGCATCGTTGGGATGATTTTCTCACACTACATGAATAATATCTCCAGATTTGCGGATATGAGCCACTTGCATAGAGTTAAAGTAAGCATCTCTTTGCTGGGAAATTTATCAAATGGGAGTATGAAGTGTTTTTAAAAGATACTTGTTTGTTTGTAGATGGTAGGCCTACAGTGGCTCATGGCAATGGTTGAGGTTGCTAAGATTTGGTGGAAGAAGGCAAAATGAAATGGCCACTTATATGGTATATGGATCACTTGTTTCTGTTGAGTTACAGATTCAGCTGGCTATTTCTCCCAATGTTAGTTATTTGGAGAAAAGAAACATGATAGTAATTTTTGGGTAACCAATACAATATTTGAGGAAAGCAAATTTATTGAGGGTTATACAAACTACAAGATAATTTAGGCTGCAAAGTCAACACGAGACTTTTGGCTCAAATTGTGCAGAGTTTGGGTCCAGCTGCAAAGTTCAATGAAAGAGGCCATATAAGATGATTCGCACTGTTTTCACCAACTGCCAGTTCAGGGGTTTCCCCAGAACACCCTCAGTTTTAAGAATTTACTAAAAAGACTCACAGAACTCATTGAATGCCATTGTACTCATGGTTTATAAGAGAGAAAGGGTAGAAATGAGGACCAATCAAAGGAAGAGACATATCACATAAGGTGGAATCTAGGAGGATTTTGAATGTTAAGTTTCCATTGTCTTCAGGACATATTACCTGTCATTGTTGTACAGCAATAAACATGGAGTACTACCAACCTGGGGAGCTCACCTGATGCTAAAAAGACACTATTTCGAAAATGAAAAGACAAACGAAAGGAGGAGATAATATGACCTTCCACATTAAGGCACTGGAAAGAATAGCAAACTAAACCTAAAGCAAGCAGAAGGAAGAAAATAAAAATTAGAGAAATTAATAATTTATAATAGTAATCATATTGGTTAGGGTTGACTAGTTGATATTAATTCCTGACTGACTTTTTCTAAAAAGAGAAATATTCATTTCCCAATTTATTCTGTGAGGCCAGTGTTACCTTGATACAAAAATTAGTCCAAATAGCATAGAAAAATAAAACTACTATAAGTATAAATGCAAAATTCCTTAAAAAATACTAACAAATCAGATCTAGCAACATATAAAAGAATTATACACTATGACAAAGTGAAATTTATACTAGTAATCTCAGGTTGGTTTAACAGCCCAAAATCCATTAAGGTAATCCATCTTATCCATAGAATAAGAAACGAGAATTGCATGATCATGTCGATAGATTCAGAAAAGACATTTAACAAAATCCAAATGCTTTAATGATTACAAATAAAAATAAAAACTCAATGAACCAGGAATAGAGAACTTTCTACACCAGATACATGGCACCTGTGAAAAGCCAACAGCAAGCATGCAACTTAAGGTTAAAGTATGCTTTCCCGCTATGGTCAGAGATAAGAAAAGGATATATACGTTGACCTCTTCTAGTCAACACTGTACTAAAGATTTTGTGCAGGGCAAATCGGCAACTAAAAAAAAAGAGTCACCCATATTGAACAGGAAGAAATAAAACTTTATTTGAAAATAACATTCTTGTATATAGAAAATTTTAAGGAATCCATTGAATGATAGAACTAGTAAATTATTTCAGCAATATTACAGCATACAACATAAATGTACAAAAATCAATTGCACACATCTACAATGAAAACCCCAAAATGAAATTAAGAAAACACTTCAATTTAAAATAGCATCAAAAAAAGAAATAATAATTAATTTGGGAAATGTGATACAAGATTTTACTCTGAAAATTAAAAATTATTGTTTAAAGAATATCTAAATAATTAGCAAACATCTTCCACCCATGAATTGGAAGATTTAATATTGTAGTACTTTAAAAGGTGAACTACCGATTTAATGAAATCCCTTCAAGTATCCCAACAGACTTCTGTCTAGAGACTGACAAGCTGATTCTAAAATACACATGGGATTGTAAGGGACTCAAAATTGCCAAAATAGTCTTGATAAAAGAAAACATATTAGGAAAATTCACACCCCCGTGCTCCAAACCTTACGGCAAAGCATCAGTAATCAAGACAACACAATACTGATGAAGGAAATTAATATAGATTGATGGAAGAGAATTGAGAGTCCATATATAAAAGTATGTATCTACAGTCAATGGATTCTTACAGTGGTGCCATGTGCAATTCAATGAGGAAGAGACAGTCTTTGAACAAACTGGGTCAACAACGTACACGTGGATCGCCACTTGCAAAATAATAAATTCAAACCCTTACCCCAAAGCATACAAAAATATTAACTCAAATGAATTAAAGACACACATGCAAGAGCTAGAATAAAGCATATGGGAAAATCTTCAGGATTTTGGATCTAGCAAAGAAATAGCTGTAACACCAAAAACATGAGCAACAAAATAAAAATTAGATAGTTAAAATTTCTTAAAAATTAAAGAGATTGGTGTTTCAAAAGACAACCAATCAAGTCAAAAGGCAGCTCAAAAATTGTGAGAAAATATTTGAGAAACACATATCTATAGGTCTGCTTATATATGTATCTTGAATATAGAAAAATTGTTTTAACTCAGTAACAAAAATCCCAACTCAAAACTGATAAATGATAGGAATAGTTGTGTATCCCAAGAAGATACACGAACGGTCAATAATCCCATAAAAAGATACTCAACAGCATCACTCATCAGGCAACTACAAATCAAAACCACAGTGAGATACTCTGTGGCTAGAACTGGCCACTTTGGAAAATAGGTTGATGGCTTCTAAATATATTAAACATAGAATTGCCATATGACCCAGAAATTTATTCCCAGGTATACCCCCAGAGTATTGGAAAGAGATGTTCAAACACAAATTATACACAAGTATTTTAACAGCAGTATTTAAAATAGCCAAAGGCTGAACACAACTCAAATGTCAACAAAATATTATTGGATAAACAAAATGTTATATCCATGCAATTGAATGTTATACAGTTATAAAAAGAAATAAAGTACCAATACGCATATGAACCTTGATAGCATTATGCCAACTGAAAGAAGCCAGGCACAAAAGGCCACCTATTGTATGATTCTATTTAGATGAAAATAGAATAGGAAGATCTACAGAGACAAAAAACAGATTTGTTGTTGCTTAGGATTGAGTAGGGGATGAGTGCATAGGAGGTTAACAGCTAGAGAAGGTGGGGTTTCTTTTTGAAGTGATGAAAATGCTCTAAAATTCATTGTGATGATGGCTCCACTTATCTGTGTATATACTAAAAGCCATTGGCTTGTAGACATTAATATGTGCACTCTACACTATGTAAATTATATCTCAATAAATCCTTTCAAAAATACACAGAAGACTAAGGGGTTTTGGACTGTTGCAGCTGGGAGGCAGTTTGAAATACTGAATAGGTCTCATCGAGAATGTGAGGTTTCAGTAAAGACTTGAGGAAGTTGAATGAGCTGATCAATGGATATATGGAGGGCTATCTTTCCAAGCCAAGAAATTAACTGGAGTCTTGGTCATAAGGCAGCAGCATGTTGGCATGTCCAGGGGACAGTGAGGTGGCCAGGACCACTGGTAAGATCAAGGGTGAAGATATGAAAGAACTTTGGCGTTTAACATGCGGCAGATCATGATGGGCTTGCAGACCATTGTACGAATTGTGTCTTTTAGTGTAAATGAAATGGGGAGACAAATCATTACCCCATTATCAATATTTTAATAAACTGGATCCATGAACCAAATCCAATGAGATTAAATCAATTAATAATAATATGCAAATATGTATTAAAATTACAAGAATTACTTGCACATTTGAGAACAGGAGAGTCATGATTGTTTATCAGCAATAATAAACATTATTAATTTTAATTGTGATCAGCTAATTGAGATTAATTGCAATACTTCATGCTTTATAATGTGACTGTCAAAAGGAAAATATGATTGTAATCTTATACTACATCTATCAATGTCTTTGATTCATAAGACTATAGAGTAAGCCCCTAGTTTTCAAAGCCAACTTATGAGGCAGTGACATCTTATGCAAGTTTGCTGCTTTCTGCCACAGTGATCCTTGGTCAGCTGGCACAAATTGTTTTACAAACGCCCCTAGGTCTAAAAATAGTTTGGATCACAATGAACACAGAATCACCTTCATGCCTTCAGAAATACCTGCCAATTACTTCCAATACAGAATGAAAAACTGACAAAGGAAATATGTGGATTGTAAAAATGCCAGTTAGCTTGCATTTACATGAAAGAAAAATGCCATTTTTATTACATTAGATCATTGTTTCACATGAGTTTTGGTATAGCACAATGTTGAACCAAGGGCAAAGAGAAATGAATTAATGAAGTCTTAAGATATCAAGAATTTGAAAGAAAAGGCAGGTCGTCTTTGAAGGTTAGTGACATAGCATTCATCTTCTGTTGTCACCTTTTCTGTCATTCCCTGTATGCCTGATGGACAGGTTTCACTCAAGTTCAGAGAACAGCATGCAAAATTAGCTACCAATTAATCTTTATGAAGTGAGCTGCATTTCTAGTCAGACTGAGCTTACGTTTTAGCAGGAAGCATTTTTGGGAAATGTTTATGTTAGAGTTTGACCTTCTTGACAAGGTGAGACATAAATGTCTACTTTATAGACATGAATTAAGATGGGAAGATATTTGGGGGAATCATTTACTCAAAGGCTAAATAATAAAGGTACACAAAGGGCAAATTATACTAGATTTCTTTCTCACTTGTTTTCTACGTCTCATGCAATTCACTTTGACTCCCTGCAGTTTCTGTTTAATGTAGACAGTGGCATTTTCATTATTTTAAGCTTCTAGCACAATGAAAGAATTTCTCTTTTTCATGAACAGGATCATAAATGAAAGGGAGGAAGAGTGTCCTATATCATATTTATTGTTCAACAAAACACTGCTCCACGGCTTAAATTCAGTTTAAAAAAGAGAATTTATTGAACATCTAACACATACATAAAAGGCAGTAAAGACAAATGAGAAGAGGGCAGGATATTGAAGTATACAGACTTCAATGCTGAGTTTTATATCTTAGGAAGTTACTCCACCTTACAGAGGCCCAATTTCCCCTGATTTAGGAAGGCGATGCTAGTGGGTATTGTCTAGGTGTAAGTATAAAAATATTGTATTTAAGAGAATCCCACAAGGTTGGTATAAGGCAGAAAATAAATAGATGTGACATGAATTAGTAGTTTATTACATTTGAATGCTACCTGCGGACTAGAGGAAGCAAGAAACACAGCCACTATGCTTGATTAGCATTATACAGATGGTACAATGATGGTTGCCAGAAGCTGGGGGAGGAAGAAATGGGGAAGTATTGTTTAATGGGTATAGAGTTTCAGTTTTACAAGATGAAACGAACTATGGAGATGGATGGTAGGGACGGCTGCACAATGTTATGACTATATTTAGTACCACTGAACTGTACACTTAAAATGGTTAACAGAGTACATTTTATGTTATGTGTATTTTACCACAATAAAAAAATAAAATACCTTAGGAATATTTTCATGAAAAAGCCCACATAAAATTCATTTTAATTCACGTGTTTATGCATAGCTTTCTATTTTTCTCTTTTCTCTTTATATTCCAAATTCTAATCAGAGAAGGGAATAGCCTCTGTACCTCCAGGATATTCAGTAAAGACCACTGGAGGTTCATGCCCTAGTGACAGTGCTCATTTAGCTCCAAATTACAGATGGCTCTAGACTAACTCCACAAAGTTTAAACAGAAGATTTAAAACAACAACAGACAAATACTCATCCTGAATTTACTGAATTGCCTGCCACAACGTTGTTCAAAGGTACCTAATAAAATCTAGATATTCAATAGCATAACATCAACATACCCAAAAAAACTCTGACATGCAAAGAAGCCGTAAGATATATATATATAATTAAGATATATATTAACAGGATAAAAATAAGTCATTTATAAATGACAGAAAAGAAGGAAATTTCAAGGTCCTTAACTTAAATATATTTTATAAATACATATAGATAAATACATATATATGTCAAGGTACTTAAATGAAAATTGAACATAGGAGAAAAATAGAAGTTATAAAATGAAAAATGTGACATGTATAGATGAAAAATAAATATTTGAAATAAAAATTACATGAGATAGAATAAGTAATGGATTTTACCCTAACATAAGAAAATTAATAGAAAAAAATAGAAGCTTTACAAACTAAAGGACAAAGGGTAAACTGAAATAAGAAAGCCAGAAACTCACTGATACGTCAGACAATATGCAGCAGTGTAACATACATGTAATCAATATCTCAAAAAGGATGGGTGGGGGAATTATAGGTGAATAAAGAATGGTACACTCATTCCTGAGGGCACCGTGAAGGGAGGATAGCTTTAGATTTCTAAGGGAGGGTATTATCCATTCATGAAGATCCAACCCCATGACCAAACACCTCCCAGTAAGCCCCACCTGCAACATTGGGGATCAAATTTTAACATGAGATTGGAAGGGGCAAGCATTCAAACCATAGCAAGAGTTAAATTTCCTTTTTAAAAAAATCACTGATATGATTCCATTTCGCCATAGATAAAAGCTAGTATTCCAGCCTACCATTGAGTGTGCTTATAGCTCACCAAAAGGGCACTCTGTCTCGAGAATACAGATTTGCCTAGAGGTATCCTATTGCAGTCAAAGAAAGAGCAATGTGGGGTAGAAAAGGTTAGTGATGGAGACACCAGCGCTGCATTTTGCAACAAACAATGTAAAAACTTTACTGATTGGTTCTGCTAACTTGCTACAGTTTACATTCCTCTCAGGTGGGAGAATTGTTGCGTTTTTTCTTAATATAGAAAAGCAATTCAGATAATCTGAAATCTCCACAAGAAGGATAAGAAGCACAGCAGAAACTATTCTAGGCAGGAAGTCAATCCTTTCAACTGTCTGTGCTCCATAGAAACAACTGTCTGCACTGGGAATCATATGAGGTACAGACCACAGCCAGACCTCTGATCCTCTCATTAGTGATTTCAGAAGAAATTTCCAGTCAACTGAGTAACTCACTGAGTAAAGTAAACACTTGGCACTGAAAGAGGTTAGACGGATAACTATTTGTATCACCATATTCATGAAGCTGGAATATTTTCCATTACTGGTATCACATCCGAATGGAAGATGTTAAAACGTCTCTTATCTTGCAAGATGGATATGAAAGAACATTGTCTGAGAAATGAAATTATTAACACACCTGCGAGGTGGATGGAAGAGAAAAAAAAGAATAATCAGCTTGAGTTATTCTCCTTGATAAGACAACTCACTAAAAACATAAAGAGAAAAATACAAGTTTAAAATAATTAACCAGAAGAAGACGACTCTAGAGATTTTAAATTGCTGATAAGATTTTAATTTGCTCCAAGTTGAAAATAATTATATTGCTTGTGTTTTAAGGCACATAATGAGCAATTGTATCACACATGATAGTTTCAGCAGTAAAATATTATCCATTAACAGCTGGATCTCCTAAAATCATAGCACAATGTGAAGATGGAATTTGCTAAAATAAACCATCTGCTGAAAACTACTATTCTGCAAATTTAAAAATAAAGTTTAAATGTTATTCGTCTTATTTAATAGGGCTGTGAAAAAAATGCGTTATTTGAAAAGTAGCGGCTACCTTAATTAATTCTTTATATTAGACGGCTGGTTACAGTAATGCACAGTAAGGTGCTACATAGATATATTGCTAAATTTTCTGCATATACTACGTATTTGGCTTAAATTATTTGAAATTTTATAGTTAAAATAAAAAATGTATATTTAAATGTTTTGACACAAATTGCAAATATACCTTTAAAAAGCGTCTTACACTCTAAATATTATTTGTCACCTATATATTTGTCTTTTCTCTATAGGAAAGTTTAAATTTTTCCCTTGAAGCTTTAATTATTTGAGTCTGTAAAACAAACTGATAATGTACAAATTAACAGGAAAAAATGATTTACAGATATGTGCACAAGTCTGCACTTGGAGTTTACATAATTTATATAAATATATCTATACAAATATTTGTATATTATAAAGAGATATACACATATATACTCTTTATATAAAAACTCCAGGAAAGGCAAGGTAGTCAACACGCCTATGCTGTCTTGAGGTTACAGAAAACACAGAGCTGTAGGTTGGTAAATCAGGCTTTGTGGAAGACAGGTGACAACAAGGAAGAAAGAGGAGCCTGGCAGCAGAGGTGGTCTTGTTACATGGATGAAACCTCACAGGGAGCAGCCCTCCTCTTGGGAAGTATAGATAGGAAATGGTTTTTAGAAATGTAAACATGGCAGACTCAGTTAATCTTTCCTAAACCCAGACCAGGGAGTATCTCAGGGAAAGCCTGTCTATATCAATGCAGATTTTCTCTACAAATGCAAATCTCCCCAACAAACACAGCTTTTCAGCTATTCTTGTAGAAGAAGCTACCTCCAGTCTTCCGAGTAGCCATCTTGAAATATGTCAAAAAGCTGGCCAGGCGCACGCCTGTAATCCCAGCACTTTGGGAGGCTGAAGTGGGTAGATCACCAGAAGTCAGGTGTTGGAGACCAGCCTGACCAACATGGTGAAAACCCATCTCTACTAAATACAAAATATTAGCCAAGTGTGGTGGTGCATGCCTGTAATCTCAGCTACTTGGGAGGCTGAGCTAGGAGAATTACTTGACCCTGGGAGGCTGAGGTTGCAGTGGGCCAAGATTGTGCCATTGCACTCCAGCCTGGGCAATAAAAGCAAAACTCCATCTCAAAAAAATAATGTATTTTAGGGTAATATTTTGAGTATCTTTACCTCCATATGTACAATAAAAATTCTTGTGATTTTTAATCTTTTCTGTGGAGAAAACACAGGTGTGATTTGTAGTGTAGCTGAACATCGTTTATGTGAAAATATTGCACTTGTGTGTGGGTGTGTGCTTGTGTAGCTACTTTTTAATTTGGTTCTCACATAATGATTAGATACTAACAATTAATTCAGTAAAATGTATGTTTTGCAATATTTTTCCATGTTATTCTGCTTTAAATTAGTTTAATCATGCCCCTATGATGTGTACATTTTAACCTTTGACTATAGGTCTCAATCTTACTTTGGTTCCTGTATTTGAATTTATGCTAATAAAGTCCTACAGCTAAAAAAGATTACATAAACTTTTTTATAAAATTTTTACTAGTACTCTGGTGTCATTTTAAATTATGTAATGAAATCAAATTTTAATTTGGATTATTGTTATCTGAGTTAAAGATCTAAATTTTTAATTTTCTTATAAATATTACATAATTATTTCTGAACCATATATTGACTAATCTGCCCTTTATATGATGTGTATTATAAGAGCTTGGGATTGTTTCATTTGGAAAGATGAATGCTTGAGAAGTAGATATTTAATAATAACATTTCAAAATCTACTGGATAACCTAGAATTGAAAAATAGCCTACAGGTTGAAAAACTCCTGTAGTGAAGAAAGTAAATAACTAATATACAGTGACAATATAAATATTATAAGTATTTATTTTATTATCACCCTGAAATTTGATAATAAAAACATGTAATATCTACTTATCATCCATATATCAGGTCATAAAAAATCAATACATTCTTCAAAAATTTAGCATAACAGAAAATGCACTCTCTCTCCTTGATGGAATTAAGTTACAAATAAAAGTAAAAATAAGTAGATAAGTAGATGGAAGTAGATGTTTAAAAACAAAGAAAAATATTTGTTTTGGATAACATAAAATCTCAATTCACAATTCCAATATTTCCAGAACTTCGCCTGTCAACTGGTGGAGAGTTTTCCCCAGGAGACATTTGTCAATGTCTAGGGGATGTCAAGACTGGTGGAGGTGTGATATTTAGAGGTCAAACGAAACACCTAGCATTGCTAGGGAAGCCTCCCACAAAAAAGAATCCTCTGGTCCTAAAGGTAAGTAGCACCAACGTTGAGAAACCATCATCTAGACAGGAAACACTATGTAGCTATTCCAAGTGCTCAGGAAAACACATCAGTGCCCTCGAGGGGAAAAGTGTAAACATTTTAATTGCTGTACATGGAGACACAAATCCATGTTGTTAATCTAAGTGGAAGAGGCTGAAGCACAAAACGTAATTCAAAGAGTTTACTTGAGCCACAATGAGGACAGCTGCCTGGAAGAAACAGACCCAAGTATCCTTGGATATGAACTCCGTTTGGAGCTTTGCAACAAGACGTTTCTTAAAGGCAAAAAAGGGTCCAGAAGTGGGATGATGCAAAGAGGTTTGTCACAAATTCTCATTGGCTTATGGAAATAACATTTATTAGTGACTGGCTATACACTGTTACACTATTATTGGGTGTGGATTATAGTGACTGGTGTGGCGTTATTGGTTAATTTATAGCTAATGTGGCAACAGCAAGCAGCCTAGATGAACACACAGCTCAGAGAGGAGCAGGACAGAACTGCTGTCTCATTTGAATATCTCTCTGGGCCTGATTATTTAAAAGGACTTGCATTTCTCACATGAAAGTTATTTTCTTTTCTCAATGTCCATAAATGAGAATAAATAGACGTAAAATAGATCTTTTCGAGGATGAAGTAAACGGAATGAAAAACAAAACCCAAGGTGACCAGAAATCATAGAGGGAGGAAAAGGTTATAAATATGTGGATTTTTCAAAGTGATTTTAAGCTATTAGGAATCAGTTAAATGTTGGGGGATTTTGTCTGAGAATGGGCTAAAGGAGAATGTCCCTTTTGCCTTCTGAAGTTTCCCTGAAAATCACTAATAGGAGGCAGATAAATAGTAGAAAAGGCATACAGGTTTCTGCAATGTGTGTACACTGGAGCCCTTAGAACGAAGACCCAGACACACGATGCATGCAGAAGCTTATCTACCACATGAAGTTTACAAAAATAATGGGGTCTTGGATCACAGGGAAAAAAAAGAAAGGTTATGTGAGAAAACGACACCCGCTAGCAACTGTGGACTGATTACATAGGTGGAACCTCACTGGGAGCAGTCCTCAGAGAGAATAGACAGAAAATGTTTCTTTCAGACCTTTGGAGACCTCAGACTCTCAGTTAAACTTTCCTAGATCCAGACAAGGGGGCAGACCTCAGAGAAAGCCTGGCTGCATCAAGGCAGATTCTCTACCGATGCAAATCTCCCCAAGACAGCTTTGCAGCTAACTTTGCATTTCCAGCCATTCTCAATAGCCATTTTGATATATATCAAGGAAATATATTTAGGGGTAAAATATATTAGTTTCCCTCATACAGCTATAAAACATACAGGAATAATTTTTGTGAATGTCTACTACAAATCCAATACAGCAGTAATTATAAAACCCACCAGATATTGAAGAAAAAATATGTAGAGTATCTCAATTACAAATGTTGATACTAAAATGCCAAATAAAATAAAAATAAAATCCAACAATATTTGAAACAGTAAGACAAGAAATTGGCAAAAAAAAATAAAAAAAATATCCACCTTGGGGATGAAAGTGTGTTTGCACATTTGGTAATCCAATAATATTAATAATCATATTGATTATCCCAAATTAAAGATAAATGGGGGATTCTCAGTACATGCTAAAATATATTTGTTAAAAGGCAATATTCATGTCTTTAAAGATTTTAAATGCTCTAAAGAGTCTGATATTCTACATGCAAAAATGTGTATGTCCATTAGAAGAGGAGAGGCCTGATTTTCATGTGTTACTACATAGAGATAGAGAAGTGGATAGATGGATTTGCATATGCATAGAGAAAGCATAAAATAGAAATTGACTATCATATTCAAGGAATTTTAATTCAACAATAAAATAATTCAAAGGTAAAATTTTAAATATTTTTAACAGGTACATTATTAATATTAGATAATGTTTATAATAATTGTGAAAATATTCAATGCTAAAATAAGATACAATGTCTAAACATCAGTATTAAAACTAGTATAAATATTTGCTTGTTTATACGAAGAAAATTCAAGCTCGACCTAAAATTATATGGGAAATAAAAGAAAAATTTTAAGGGAGCTCTTTAATAACATAATCATATGTATATATACACAGACACATATACCATGTATATATGTTATATGGGATAGATATAGATTTAACATGTTATATCTATATTTGTATCTATAACTACAGCTGTATGTATCTAAATTTCTATATCTTTACTCAGTGATATAAATATAGACTGGAATAAATATAAGGACACATATGATTCTTGGATAAAAAGGATTTAGTATCATAAAGACAAATTCTTTCCAAATTCACTTATGAATTCACAACAATATACAGTTTCATTAGTATACTTTAAAATTTTTAAATAAATTCCAAGATTCATTTAAAGGAATATACATGTATACAAGCAGTCAAAAAAGAAGCAAGAGTGCACTAAACTAACTTGCTATTAAAATACATTTTTAAACTTAGTCACTAAAACTGAGCAGTACTGATTTGGAGTACTGGAATTTTGGTATATGGGATCTCAAAAGCACAGAGCTCAAAGGAGACCCCTGTATGCACAAGAGCTTAGGATGTGCTTTGGAAGGCATTACCAAACTGCGGGCAAAGTTACTTTAGTGTCTTAGTCTTACTAGGTTTGAAAAGCCAGAGAAAAGACTCAAGACCACCATATAAGAGCAAAACAAAAGGACAGGGAGAGAATGTGAAGATACTGAAACATTTTACATAAAGTTGTATAAAACATCCTTTAAAGAAAATGTAAAGTTTAGGATATACATCAAAATCAGCAGAGCCACTAAATAAATAAATAGGCATTGTAAAATAGCAAGAGAAAATTTAAATGGATTTCTAAAAAATATTGACACCTATGATTTTTAAAATATGTTTAAGAAATGCCGTATTACACAGGGCAGCCTTTCACAACACAGATATGTTAGGACATAAAGGTCCTTCTGTTTTTAATTTGCTAGTGTTTATAGGGTTACAAATGTCTTCTACCTTTGTCTTTTGTCTGATGGTGGAAAAAATTTTCATAAGCATGTATTTCTGAATGCCTGATGGATTGACATATATAATATGCTGCTAGTATTAAAATATGAGACAGAAATCGCATCCAATCTTCTCACTGTTTACATAAATTCTACGTTTCTCCTATTTACCTCAAGCACGTATGGAGCGAATTCTTACCTTTTAATATTGCTATGGCATTCACATTGAACATAAGTTGAACTCTCTCGTATGGTAGCTGGGTTCAGATTCCCTTGACAATTTCCAGTTCTAACCCTCACAGTTCCTCAGTGTGGCTGGCCCAGATATTGACCCTACACAGTTGCCTCCTCCTGGTGACTACCAGCTATGGAACCGTTGGATACAACCTACCTGACTCACCCCACAGACCTCACAGCGCACATGGACAGCCCCCACACCCAGAGTGACCTGCTCGGTTGCAGCGGGAGTCAAGAAATGTGCGTGCTGGCACTCACCCCACCGACTAATGCCCCGTGGAAAACTTATTTGGGTAATGTTCTGGGCCCAATAAAGGCTGGAGTCCCACAGACCCCTTTTCTCTCTCCTGCTCCCCACTCATCTTCCCCATTTTGTTCAGCCCTATGAGGTGTGCTACTGTATTAGTCCATTTTCACACCACCGGTAAAGACATGCCCGAGACTGGGTAATTTCCAGAAGAAAGAGGTTTAATAGACGCACAGTTCCACATGGCTGGGTAGGCCTCACAATCATGGTGCAAGCTGAAAGGCACGTCTCACATGACAGCAGACAAGACAAGAGAGCTTGTGCAGGGAAACTCCCCTTTATAAAACCATCAGATCTTGTGAGACTTATTCACTATCAGAAGAACAACCTGGGAAAGACCTGCCCCCATGATTCAATTGCTTCCCACCTGTTCCCTCCCACAACATGTGGGAATTCAAGAAGAGATTTGGCTGGGGACACAGTTAAACCCTCTTCTCGGCTACCCTCTTCTCTCTGGATCTGTGAGAAATAAACCTACTTCTGTGATTTCCCATGTTTGGTTCTGTGGCCTCCATGTGTCTGAGCTGACCTACACTGGAACCTAACTCTCCTCCTGGCCAGGGTCTCTGAGAGTGGCTCTTGTCAGAAATACACAGGACACAGGTCAGGCAACAGTCACCAGGCATCTGTTGAGACCAGGAAATCTCAACAGATGTTCTGTGAGAGGGAGGCCTGGTCGTGGGATGCACACCTGGCCACTGCTGGGGTAAGGAAGTGTCCTGTGAAAGGCACATGTTAAGCATCCACAACCCCCTGCCCAGAACCCCAGAAAGGCAGGGCTGCAATTGACAATCACTCTCCAGAGACAAACCTCAAGCCCTAACTGGAGGAAAAGAAAACAATGTAAAAAGTTGAATTTATCTTACTATTTCAATGATCCAGTAAAGACTTTCTATGCCTGTACACCACATATTTTCTTCGATTGTGGATTTATTTTAGATAGAATTTTAGGTCTTGCTTTCACTTTAGCCTGGTCCCTACCTCAAGCATAAGGTAAAGATTTTCCATGCGTTCTTTTCTGGTACTACTACCTGCCAGTGTGGGGTCATGTCCTAGTCTATCTTGAGGGAATCCCCCTGTTCATTACTGTCAGAGTGAGACTGTTAAGCCTTGATTTCCCTGGACAACTTCACTGCATGACTTTTAATATGATTTTTTAATATACCCTTTACTGGACAATAAATTATATAGTTATCTGAGTAAGAGATATGGTCAGGAAGAGGCATTGTCTCATTCAGCTTTTCTCTTTGGTGAACTCACATATGTTCTCCTCACCCGCCAGTCACCTCTAAACCGTATTGTTCCAAGACAACAAACAGAACTCGAGTGTGTATCTTTCACCACTGGATTTGTGTTTGCTCCATAAAGCTTCATGCTTTACAGGGTTTCTGTTAGCATTTCCTCTATTTATTTTCCCATAAAATATCACAGGCCTTCTTCATATGGAATTATGGGTGATTTCCTTCAATCTGCATCATATCAAGTTGAGGACATGTTGATGAAAAGTAAAACATACGTTTAAAATATCAGTAAGGATGTTTTCCCCTCATTTTTAGCACCTGTGCTTGTGATACAAGCACAATTTAATACAAGTGTAGTCTCATGCTTTGATCATTCCTATGATGAAAATAACATTATTAGATAAAATATCTGAGTTTTATGAGGCCTTTAGTATGTGATGTGATAGAATATCAGAAGACCATACTTTTTTCTAGTTTTCCGTGCAATTCTATCATTGTTTCATCTTTACTCCTACCAGAGTAATTTTCCAGAATAGATATCTTGTCATTCTTCCTGTTTTTATCAGTAAATAAGTGAAATGAAACCTAGATTATATAATTTATCTACAACAAAGAAGTAGAATTGAATCTGTATTCATTAATGAGACTAACCAGTCAATTACACAGAAAGGCATTTTACATTTTGAAGATCATATGGACCCATTGTCAGAAATATTATTATTTATGTCTATATGGACATCACCTGTGCATATTTACATAGAAATCAATGAGAGCAGATTTTTATTTTTATTATATATATTTTTTGAGATAGGGTCTTGCTTTTTTGCCCAGGCTGGAGTGCAGTGGTGCAATCACTGCTCACTGCAGCCACAGCCTCCCAAGCTCAAGCAATCCTTCCACCTTGGCCTCCCAAATAGCTAGGACAACAGGTGCATATCACCATGCCCACTTTTTTTTTACTTTTGATAGAGACTGGGTCTTGCTATATTGTCCAGGTTTCTTGTGAACTCCTGGGCTCAAGGAACCCTCTCATTTCAGCCTCTTCAACTGCTGGTATTACAAGCATGAACCACCATATGGGCTGGAAGCTGATTTTTAAAATACTGAGATCATATAGATGACAGCAACTGAAAAATAGACAACACCAAGCTTTATGTTAAAAGGTGTGAGTGTATCAATATTGTTGTGGCTATTGGGGAGGAAAACATTAGTGAAACCAGTAAGTTAAAGCTCTTGCTTTAAACTTTGGCTTTAATTTAACAAATGTTCTATGGAGTGACAGTATGTATGTAACCATGCTATGCCCATTCTCAGATGCAGTAGAGGGAAGAATTTCTCAAAGACAACTGTTCTAAGACTCAAATTAAACCGTACTGGGTTTGAAAACAGAAAGTCCAGGAATTACCAAATATTTTAGATATCAGATACAAGAGAATGCCAGGTATGCGATGATAATCAGCAATGGTTGTTCACACAATACATCAAATCAGTATTTGAATTAGCTTTTGAATTACAAGGACAAATGGATCAAGTCTAGACTCTTTAGTAGATAAATCTTATTAGGCTGAGATGTGTTTTCCCGTTTTTCCACAAGGAGATTACAAATTTGTAAACCTCAGCTGCTCTCATTTTATGCTCTCACCAAGCCAAAAGCTGAAGTTCATCAATCAGTGTGTCTAAGTGTTCACTGGTTATATACCATTTTGTAGTTTCAGCTATCTTTCCAACTTCCTAAATCCTCACCTTCATTTGATCCTGTTTTTTTCCACTATCACTTCTTTATTGACCATATAAAGAATATAAGTAAGTTCTTATTTTGTTATTGTTCATTTTAGCCCAATTTCATCAAAAGATCACAATCTTTTAATTTCATTTTAATTTCAAAGATTAAATGAAACCTACATAGAAATGAGTGCAAGATTTGCATTTGCATTATTTTGGCATCAATTTGCTATCCTCCCTCATGCACATAGAGATCATTTCCATGTACGTGATTTCAAACATCCAAGTGCAGTATTAAAAGCAGTTGTAAATTATGGTTCTCATTTTGATGATACACTTACAATATAAACTTCCTCTTGCTGCTGTAACCAATTACCACAAACTTCATATCTTACAATAAAGTGACCGTTAATCCTACAGTTCTATAGTTCAGAAGCCTTAAATGAAACTCACAGGGCTAACATCAAGTTTTGGGCAGGGCTGCAGTCTTTCTGAGGGCTATGTGGCAGAATGTATTACTTGATTTTTTTCAGCAACCATAGGTCACCTTTATTCCTTAGAACATGACCTCATTCTTAGATCCTATTTTTCTTTTTTTTTTTTTTTTGAGATGGAGTCTCCTTCTGTCACCCAGGCTGGAGTGCAGTGGCACGATCTCAGCTCACTGCAACCTCTGCCTCCCGGGTTCAAGTGATTCTTCTGCCTCAGCTTCCTGAGTAGCTTGGACTACAGGCACTTGCCACCACGCCCAGTTAATTTTTTGTATTTTTAGTAGAGATGGGGTTTCACCATGTTAGCCAGGATGGTCTCGATCTCCTGACCTCATGATAAACCAACCCCAACCTCCCAAAGTACTGGGATTAGGAGTGAGCCACCGTGCTGGGTCTTCATTCTTGTATCTTAAAAGTCAGTGATGTTGAGTAATTTCTCATGCCACCACCTCCAAGGTTGCCTTTCTTCTGCCTTCTTCTTTCACTTATAATGAAGTTTGTGATTTCATTGATCCCACCCATTTAAGTCAATCTCTCTATCATTTTTCCGCAACCTTAATTTCACTTGAAATCTAATTCACACTGTCGTGAAACCTAACATATTTGTAGGTTATACTCTGGGAATTAGGACATGAAAATTTTTGGGAGGCCATACTTTGACCTACAGCAGTCATAATCTGTTTACCTGCAGATTAAAGAGTTCTTTATTTTTCTGTCTCCCTCTCTTAATTTTTTTAAAAATAATATTAATTGTAGTAAAGAGAAAGGAAGAAAAGAAAACAAAGAAAGAAAAAGAAGGAAGGAAAGAAGGAAGGAAGTAAAGAAAGAAAGAAGAAAGAAAAGAAGGAGGAAATGAGGGAAGGAAGGGAGGGAGGAAGGGAGAAAGGCAGGAAGGGAGAAAAAAGAAAGCATGAACACAAGAAAGAAAGAAGGAAGGAAAGAAAGAAAGAAAGAAAGAGAAAGAAAGAGAGAAAGAAAGGAGGAAGGGAGGAAGGAAAGGAGGAAGAGAGAATGGTAAAAGGGAGGAAGGCAAAGAAACAAAGAAAATAAAGAGGCGAAGGAAGGAAGGAAAAAGAGGAAAGGAAGGGAGGGAGGAAGGAAGAAAATGAGGGTGGGAGGAAGGGAGAAAAAAGGAAAGAAAGCAAGAACGTGAGAAAGAAAGAAAGAATATGAGTAAAGAAGGAAGAAAAGGGAGGGAGAAAGAAGGGAGGGAGGAGGGAAGGAAGAATAAGAGGAAAGAAAGAAAGAAGGAAAGAAGGTAGGAAGGAGAAAAAAAGAAAGAAAAGAAGGAAAGGAAAAGAAAAAAGAAAAGAAAAGGAAGAGGAAAAGAAGAAAGGAAGGAAGAAGGCAAGGGAAGGGAAGAGAAGAGAAAGGAAGATGGAAAGAGAGAAGGAAGAACGCAAGTATTAGAAATTCTGGGTTTGTTAGAGAATATGCCATACTGTTTTTTTTTTTCACTTGAAAGGAAAGAGTATCTGCCATTGAAGATTGGATGTCTTGTTGGTGATATTGTTGTTCTTATCTTCCACATGATTACTGAGTTTGTGCCTTGTCTTTCCGTTACTAAGACAAAAGTGTTGATGTCGGCAAATATAATTTTGGATTTTTCTAGTTCACCTTTGATTTCTTTCCTGTTTTACCTCATGTATTTGGAGGTTCTGTTGTTAGTTGCGTACCCTAATTAGGAGGATGTTTACATCTTCTTGAGAATTGATTATTCTATTATCTATTATCTCTCATCTCTGATACTATTTCTTGTTCCGAACTCTGTTGTGTCCAATATCAATATAGTCCTTCCACAGCCTTATTTTAGTGTTTCCATGTTATGGCTTTCTCCATATCTTGATGATAACCTATTTATATCTCTATATATTTGGAACAAGATATAAAATTTAGACTTGATTTTTTAAAGATTTTTCAAGTTGTAATTCTTATTTCTTTTTGTTCTATTTGACATTCTCTGAGTTTCCTATATTTGAAGTTTGATTTTCCGTCACTTCTTTTAGAATATTTTTGGCAGTTACTTTGAAAAATATTTCCTTTGCTCCATTATTTTTCCCTCTTTTCTTTTTGGGATTTCAATCATAACTAGAGTAGGTAATTTCATCTCAGTCTTATGCTGGTACTTTTTCTCAGGGTCTCAGGAATGTAACCTTCTCACACTTCTGTTCTTTCCCTGGCTGTGTTGGTGAGCTCAGTGATATTCCTCCTTCACCTTCAAGAGCAGTTTTGTTTTGTTTTTCCTGTTTTCATACTCCCAGCATCAGGAGTATTCTAAGTGTGGCAGTTTTTGTTGCCTTCCCCTACATATTAAGTGGAATATCTTGGTCTATTTGGACTCTTATGACAAAATAAAATAAACCGGGTAACTAAAAAACAACAGATATTTCTTTTTTCACACTTCTTGAGGCTGTAAGATCTCAGGTCAAGATGCTCACAAATTCAGTGTTGATGAGAGCCCATTTCATGGTTCATAGATGGTGCCTTCTTTCTATGTCCTCACATAGTGGAAGGCACACAAGAACTCCATTGAGCTTCTTTTATAAAGGCACTAATCCCATTCATAAGGGCTCGGCCCCCAAGACCTGGTCACCTCCCAAGTGTTCTGCTCTCCCTGATCTGTGTCATATACAGACTCTCTTGGATTCCTTACCAATTGCTTGAGAGATCGCAGTGGGTTTGTGGGGAAAAAGTTTTCAAGATGATGGATCTTTCCCAACTTCTGCAGCTGTCAGCGGTCTCCCAATCTCACCAGCCCCACTTTGTCTTTAGGAATTTATTGATTATTCCAGCTTTACTTGTCATAGTGGTGTCTATTTGCATCTGTCCTATGTAAGTGCATCTGTCCTCTTTCTCCTTGCAGGTGCAAGTACTCAGGAGTACACTATTGTTACTAATAACTCCGTATTGGTTTGTACATTGTCAAAGATCAAAGAACATTTTTAAAGATAAAAAAAATTCTTAGAGGTTGTGTAATGAAGGGTTAATTCTGCAGACATGGCTTTCCAAAACCTTGCACATTCCAAAGGTCTTCAGGACTGGCCCTTGACAGGCTCCTGGGAGATAATAACCTATGAGCCCTTGGTATATGTTGCCTGATGAGAGTCTTTGTATACCTGAAAACGTAGGTCATATCAAATAGCTGATGCTAACAATGTGATTTCTTGTGAGCATCTGTTTCTGTATGCCTATGACTTTGTGTAATGCCATATGAATATGACCTCTTTTAGGGCATAGGGAGGTTGGCAACTAAGTAGCTAAGTTCAGTCACAGGACGCTCAATGCATATGTGGTGGAATCCTAATAAAAACCCTGGACTCAAGACTGACTGAGCTTCCCTAGTTGGCAACAAGTTCACACATGTTGTCTCACACCATTGTAAAGAAAATTAGTCAGTGTGAAATCCCCACTATGAAAGGACACCTGTAAGCTCACATCTGGTTTGTCCTGGACTCAACTTTATGTGCTTTTATGCTTCTGATTATTTTAATCTGGTTTCTTTCACTGTTAGAAACTATAACCACAAAAAAATCAGCTTTCTTGGGTTATGCGAATCATTAAACCAAAGGGGGACTTGGGGACCCCCAATAAAAAGTATATATATTCTTAAAAAAAAAAAAGAAAACTGGCTACAGCAGATATTGCTGATGACTTGTCTTGTATGTCCTGGACTCAATGCGTTCACCTGAAATTCACCTGTTTCCAGCTAACTGAGTGCTCCCCACATCATGCCTGTCTTTCTGATTTTTGGGCCTGCCTGCAAGCTTCTTGAGGCTAACCAGTGCTTCTCAACCACACATAGGAACAAAGAAGGAGTTAGGGGTGGAGAGTTAATGATTCTAAGGCAATCCTTAAGCAATAATAGATGGGGATTCCAGCATCACCATCTCTTTGTAAAGTTAGTTTGAGACAATCTCCATACCTCCATCATTACTGAGCACATAGCAGTAACTACTCATTCACACTGGCTTCATGTTCTGTTTCATTTTCTCCATTTCTGTGTTTTCTCACTCAATTTCTGATTAAAGTATCTGACCCCAGATATTTGTTTCATAGTCTATTTTTGAGGGAATCCAGAGCCAAGACAATAACAACGGGAGGTTTGCAATGAGGGAGGGTGAGTATAATCATCAGAAGGTTACCTACCTCACTGGGAACATGAAGGCCTGGAGAGCTTGCTGTTTCAATGAGAGAAACATGTTGAATCTCAGTTCAATACATATATATGTGTGTGTGTGTGTGTGTGTGTGTGTGTGCAATAAGACGTGCCCTTTACTTATATCAAAGGAAAGTGCTCTTTACCTCTCTTTGTTGTGTTTTTATCACTATTGCCTACACAAGCAGAATATCATACCCAGGATTTAAAGCCCTCTCTGCAGGATTTTCAAGCTCATGTTTTTATCATAAGTTACTCTGCTTCCATGTGTTTTAAATCTAATCCTCATTCCTCTGCTTTTACACCAGAGAATTCATCACTGACTTATTTTTGACTGACCTCCTTATAGAGCTGTCAAGTACACAATTTCTGCTGTGACCTTTCTCTTAGAGTTCAGTCATATAGCCTCTCACTAGGTATCATTTCCTCTTATCTTTCCTAATAATAAATTGTCAGTTAAAACTCAATATTTTTAAGATTGAGCTTACCATCTGCACACACACACACACCATTATTGGTGTACTCTCATAGCCTTGAAACACTAATGTCACGTTGATGTCTGCCTTTTCTCTCTCTGCTACCTCATTCCTCATCCTTAGATTATTCTAAAAGATTCAATTAGATCAAGTTGGCTAATTACATTTTTAAGATCCTCTCTAACCTTCCCAACATTTCGTTTAACAAAATTTAAAAATTTCTGGCAGGAGACTGTTGAAATCCCCATGGATGACTATGGTTTTACTATTTTACCTTTCAGTTTTAATAGGTTTTATATTATGTATTTTGAAGTAATGCTATTGTGTGCATACATATTTCTTATTTACATGACTTCTTGGTGTATTTTCCCCTTTGTCATTTTGAAATGTTATTCTTCATCCCCAGTGATATTTCCTGTTCTGGTGTCTACTTTGCTCATCACAGTTTTAGGGGGTTTTGGTTTGTTTTTTTTCCTATTGTTTGGTTCAAGTAAGTTTCTTATAAATCTGTTCGATTCCATTTGATGATTCCATTTGATTCCATTCTAGGATTCCACTCGATTCCATTCGATGATGATTCTATTCAATGATGATTCCATTAGAGTCCATTCGATGATTCCATTCGAGTACATTTGATGATTCCATCCGATTCCATTCAATGATGACACAATTCTAGTCCCTTCATTGATTCCATTCAATTCCATTCTATGATGACTGCATTCGGTTCCATTCGATGATGATTCCAATGGATTCCATTTGATTTATCCATTCGATTCCATTCCTTGCTCGTTCCATTCAATTCCATTAGATTATGACTCCACTAGATTCCATTCAATGATGATTTCATTAGATTCTATTCGATGATGATCCATTTCGATTCTATTCAATGATGATTCTATTTGATTCCGTTAAATAATTTCATTCGATTCCATTCGAAGATTCCATTTGATTCCATTTGATGGTGATTCCATTCATGTCCAATCGATTATTCCATTCGATTCCATTCGATGATGATTCCATTTGAGTCCATTCGATGATTCCATTTGATTCCATGCAATGATGATTCCATTGAGTCCATTCGATGATTCCATTTGATTCCATTAGATGATGACTGCATTCGGTTCCATTCGATGATGATTCTAACGGACTCCATTCGAAGACTCCATTCGATTCCATTCATTGATGATTCCATTCTATTCCATTTGATGATGATTCCTTTCTATTCCATTCGATGATGATTCCATTCAATTACATTTGATGATGATTACATTCGATTCCATTCAATGATGATTCCATTGGATTCCATTCGATGATTCCATTTGATTACATTCGATGATGATTCCTTTCGGGTCCATTCGGTGATTCCATTCTATTCCACTCGATGTTGTTTCCATTTGAGTCCATTCGATGATTCCATTCGTGTGCATTCCATGATTTCATTCGATTCCATTTGATGATGATTCCATTCGATTCCATTCGATGATTCCATTTGATTTCATTCGATGATGATTACATTAGATTCCATTCGATGATTCCATTCTAGTCCATTCAATGATTCCATTCGTGTTCATTAAATGATTCCATTTGATTCCATTCGATCATGACTCCATTCGAGTCCATTCAATGATGATTCCATTTGATTCCATTTGACGATTCTGTTGGATTCTATTCTTTGTTTTATTTTGATTCGTTTTGATGATGATTCCATTCAGTTTCATTCGATGATCCCATTCGATCCGATTCGATGATGTTTCCATTCAATTCCATTTGAAGAAAATTGCATTCAATTCCATTGATGATGATTCCATTTGATTCTATTCGATGCTGATTCTATTTGATTCCATTCGATGATGATTCCATTTGATTCCATTCGATGATTAAATTCGATTCCATTCAATGAAGATTCCATTCGAGACCATTCGATGATTCCATTCAATTCCTTTCAATAATGATTCCATTCGAGTCCATTCGATGATTCTATTCAAGTCCATTCAATGATTCTATCTGATTCCATTCAACGAATCCATCTGATTCCATTCTATGATGATTCCATCCATTTCAATCCGATGATGATTCCATTCGATTCCATTCAAGGATTCCATTCGATTCCATTTAATGATGATTCCAATCAATTCCATTCGATGATTCCATTCGAATCCATTCGATGATGAGTCCATCCATTTCAATTTCATGATAATTCCATTCATTTCAATTTGATGGTGTTTCAATTCTATTCCATTCGATGTTGATTCCATTAGTTTCCATTGGATGATGATTCCATTCGAGTCAATTCGATGATGATCACATTCGATTTCATTCCATAATTCTATTCGATTCCATTCTATGATGAATCCATTCGATTCCATTCGATGATGACTCCATTCAATTCCATTCATTGGTGATTCCATTCAATTCCATTCATTGATTCCATTCCATTCCATTCGACAATGATTCCATTCGATTCCATTCGATGATTCCACTCAATTCCACTTGAGGATGATTCCATTCGATTCCATTCGATGATTCCGTTTGATTCCATTTGATGATTATTGCCTTTGATTCCATTTGATGATTCTATTCAATTCCATTCAATGATGATTCCGTTCGATTCCATTTCATAATTCCATTTGATTCTATTAAAGGATTCCATTCGATTCCATTCAAAGATGATTCCATTCGAATCCATTTGATGGATTCATTCGAGTCAATTCAATGATCCCATTCGAGTCCATTTGATGATTCCATTAGATTCCATTCAATGATGATTCCATTAGGGTCCATTTGATTATTTCATTCGAGACCATTCCATAATTCCATTCAAGTCCATTTGATGTTTCCATTCGAGTCCATTCGATGATTCCATCCGATTCCATTTGATGATGATTCCATTCGGGTTCATTTGATCATTCCACTCGATTCCATTTGATGATTCCATTTTAGTCCATTCGATTATTCCATTCAAGTCCATTCAGTTATTCCATTCAAGTCCATTCGATGACTCCATTCAATTCCATTCACTGATAATTGCATTCGAGTCCATTTGATGATGATTCCATTCAATTCCATTTGATGATTCCATTCGATTCCATTCCATGATTCCTTTCGATTCCTTTCGATGATGATTCCATTCGATTCCATTTGATGATGACTGCATTCGTTTCCATTCGATGATGATTCCTGCAGATTCCATTCGATTTCTCCATTCGATTCCATTCGTTGATGTTTCCATTCGATTCCATTACATGATGATTCCTTTAGATTCCATTCGATTGCATTTGATGATGATTCCATTTGATTCCATTCAATGATGATTCCATTCAATTCCATTCTATGATTCCATTCGTTTCCATTCGATGGTGATTCCATTCGTGTCCATTCGATGATTCCATTCGATTTCATTCAATGATGATTCCATTCGAGTTCATTCAATGATTCCATTCAAGTCCATTTGAAGATTCCATTAGAGTCCATTCGATGATTCCATTTGATTTCATTTGATGATGATTCCTTTCGATTCCATTCGATGATTCCATTCTAATCCATTCGATGATGATTCCATTCGAGTCCATTCGATGACTCCATTTAAGTCCATTCAATGATGATTCCATTCGATTTCATTTGATGATTCTATTTGATGATGATTCAATTCTATTACATTGGATGCTTCCATTCGATTCCATTTGATGATGATTCCATTCGATTCCATTTGATGATGATTCCATTTGATTCCATTCGATTATTATTCCATTCAATTTCATTTGATGATGCTATTCGATTCCATTCGATGATTCTATTCGATTCCATTCGATGATGTTTCAATTATATTCCATTGGATGATTCCTTTTTATTCCATTTGATGATGATTCCATTCGATTCCAAACTATGATTATTCCATTCAATTACACTCGATTATGATTTCATTCGATTTCATTCGATGATTCTATTTGATTCCATTTGATGATGATACAATTCTATTCCATTGGATAATTCCATTTGATTCCATTCGATGATGGTTCGATTTGATTCCTTTTGCGGATGATTCCATTTGATTGCATTCGATGAAGATTTCAATCGAGTCCATTCGTAGATTCCATTCGATACCATTCGATGATGATTCCATTCCATTCCATTTGATGATTCCATTCGATACCGTTCGATGATGATTCCATTCAAGTCCATTCGATGATTCCATTAGATTCCATTTGACAATGATTCCATTTGAGTCTATGTGATGATTCCATTCGATTCCATTTGATGAAGATTCCATTCGAGTCCATTCGAAGATTCCATATGATGATGATTCCACTCGAGTCCATTTGATTATTCCATTCGAGTCCATTCAATTATTCCCTTAGATTCCATTCATTGATGATGCTATTCGTTGCCATTTGATGATTCCATTTGACTCCATTCAATGATGTTTCCATTCAAGTCCATTCAATGATTCCACTTGAGTCCATTCAATGACACCATTTGATTCAATTCAATGATGATTCCATTAGAGTCCCTTCGGTGATGATTCCATTCGAGTCCATTCAATGATTCCATTCGGTTCCATTTGATGATGATTCCATGGGATTCCATTCGATGAATCCATTTGATTCCACTTGTTGATGATTCCATTTGATACCGTTCGATGATGATTCCATTCAATTCTCTTAATTGATGATTCCAATAGATTCCATTCGATGATGATTCCATTCGACTCCATTCGATGGTGATTCCATTCGATTTCATTTGATGGTTCCATTCGATTCCTTTCAATGATGATCCCATTCGATTCCATTCGATGATTCCATTCGAATTCATTCGATGATGAGCCATTCAGTTCAATTCCATCATGATTCCATTTGATTCAATTCGATGATATTTCCATTCGACTCCATTTGATGATGATTCCATTTGATTTCATTCAATGGTTCCATTCGATTCCTTTCAATGATGATTCCATTCGATTCCATTTGATGATTCCATTTGATGCCATTCAATGACGATTCCATCTGATTCCATTCGATGATTCCATTTGATTCCATTCGATGATGAGCCATTCAGTTCAATTCCATCATGATTCCATTTGATTCAATTCGATGATATTTCCATTCGATTCCATTCGATGGTGATTC
>NT_187384.1:102116-158458 GCF_000001405.40 Homo sapiens
TTTGGATTTCATATGATGCTTCTATTTGATTCCATTCAATGATGATTCCATCTCATTCCATTCGATGATTCACATTTGATTCTATTCAGTGATGATTCCATTGGATGATTATTTCATTTGATTCCATTCGATGATGACTCCATTAGAGTCCATTCGATGATTCCATTCGTGTCCAATCGATGATTCCATTTGATTCCATTCGATGATGATTCCATTAGAGTCCACTCGATGAATCCATTCGATTCCATTTGATGATGATTCCATTCGAGTCAGTTAGATGATTCCATATGATTCCATTCGATGATCTTTCCATTTGAGTACATTCAATGATTCCATTTGATTCCATTCGATGATGATTCCATTCGATTCCATTCAATGATGATTGCATTTGAGTTCATTCAATGATTCCCTTTTATTCCATTTGATGACGATTCCATTCGAGTCCATTCAGTGATTCCATTTGATTCCATTTGATGATGATTCCATTCGAGTCCATTCAATGATTACGTTCGATTCCATTCGATGACGATTCCATTCGAGTCCATTCGGTGATTCCGTGTGATTCCATTTGATGATGATTCCATTCGAGTCCATTCAATGATTACGTTCGATTCCATTCGATGACGATTCCATTCGAGTCCATTCGGTGATTCCGTGTGATTCCATTTGATGCTGATGCCATTCGAGCCATTTGATGATTCTATTTGAATCCATTTGATAATTGCTTTTGATTATATTCAATGATGATTTCATTCGAGTCCATTCAATAATTCCATTCAATTCCATTCAATGATGATTCCCTTCAGGTCCATTAGATGATTCCATTCGATTACACTTGATGATGATTCCATTCGAGTCCATTCGATGATTCCACTCGATTCCATTCCCTGATGATTACTTTTGAGTCAATTCGATGATTCCACTCGATTCCATATGATGATGACTCCATTCGTTTCCTGTCGATGATTCAATTCTATTCCATTGATGATTCCATTCGAGAACATTAGATGATTCCATTCAATTCCATTCAATGATGATGCTATTTGTGTGCTTTCAATGATTCCATTCGATTACATTCGATGATGATTTCATTCTATTCAATCCAATGATGATTCCATTCATGTCCATTAGATGATTCCTTTTGATTCCATTCGATGTTGTTTCCATTTTTTTTCCATTCAGTGATGATTCCATTCGGGTCCATTAGATGATTCCATTTGATTCCATTCGATGGTGATTCCATTATATTCCATTAAATGTTGATTCCATGCGAGTCCGTTAGATAATTCCATTCAATTCCATATGATCATGACTCCATTCGATTCCATTTGATGATTCCATTCTATTCCATTAGATGATGATTCCATTCTACTCCATTCGATGATGATTCCATTCTATTCAATCCAATGGTGATTCCATTTGGGTCCATTAGATGACTCCATTTGATTCCATTCGATTATGATTCCATTTTATTCCATTCAGTGATGACTCTATTCGGGTCCGTTAGATGATTCCATTCGATGATGATTCCATTATTTTCCATTCGATGATGATTCCGTTCGAGTACATTAGATGATTCCATTAGATTCCATTCAATGTTGATGCTATTCGTGTCCATTAGATGATTCCATTCGATTCCATTCGATGATGATTCCATTCGAATCCATTCGATGATTCCATTGGATTCCATTCTCTGATGATTACATTCAAATCCATTCAATGATTCCACTCGATTCCATACGATGAAGATTCTGTTCGATTCCATTTGATGATTCCATTCTATTCCATTAGATGATGATTCCATTCGAGTACATTAGATGATTCTATTAGATTCCATTCAATGTTGATGCTATTCGTGTCCATTAGATGATTCCATTCGATTCCATTTGATGATGATTCCATTCGAATCCATTCGATGATTCCATTGGATTCCATTCTCTGATGATTACATTCAAATCCATTCGATGATTCCACTCGATTCCATACGATGAAGATTCTGTTCGATTCCATTTGATGATTCCATTCTATTCCATTAGATGATGATTCCATTCGAGTACATTAGATGATTCCATTAGATTCCATTCAATGTTGATGCTATTTGTGTCCATTAGATGATTCCATTCGATTCCATTCGATGATGATTCCATTCGAATCCATTCGATGATTCCATTGGATTCCATTCTCTGATGATTACATTCAAATCCATTCAGTGATTCCACTCGATTCCATACGATGAAGATTCCATTTGATTCCATTTGATGATTCTATTCTATTCCATTAGATGATGATTCCATTCGAGTACATTAGATGATTCCATTAGATTCTATTCAGTGTTGATGCTATTCGTGTCCATTAGATGATTCCATTCTATTCCATTCGATGATGAGTCCATTCTAGTCAATTCAATGGTGATTCCATTTGGGTCCATTAGATGATTCCATTCGATTCCATTTGATTATGATTCCATTTTATTCCATTCAA
This sequence comes from Homo sapiens, assembly GCF_000001405.40. Classification (NCBI taxonomy): domain Eukaryota; kingdom Metazoa; phylum Chordata; class Mammalia; order Primates; family Hominidae; genus Homo; species Homo sapiens. The sequence goes on from NT_187384.1 coordinate 104,598, forward strand.
TGATGATTCCATTTGGGTCTGTTAGATGATTCCATTCGATGATGATTCCATTATTTTCCATAGGGTGATGATTCCATTCGAGTCCATTCGATGATTCCATTGGATTCAATTCGATGGTGATTCCATTAGGGCCCATTCGATGATTCCATTCTACTCCATTCAATGATGATTCCACTCAATTCCATTCAATGATTCTATTTGAGTCCATTCAATGATTGCTTTCAATTCCATTCGATGATGATTCCATTCAATACCGTTCTATGATTCCATTTGATTCTGTTCGATGTTGATTCCATTCTATTCCATTCGACGGTTCTATTCGATTCCATTTGATGATGATTCCATTTGATTACATTTTATTATGATTCCATTCTATCCCATTCGATGATTCCATTCAATTCCATTCGATGATGATTCCATTTGAGTCCATTTGGTGATTCCTTTTGATTCTATTCTATGATGATTCCATTCGAGTCCATTCAATGGTGATTCCAGTCGATTCCATTCAATGAGTCTATATGATTCCATTTGATGATGATTGCATTCGATTCCTTAGGATGATTCCATTCGAATCCATTCAAAGATGATACCATTCAATTCTATCTGATAATACCGTTCCTTTCCATTCGATGGTTCCAAAGGATTCCATTTGATGATGCTTCCATTTGAGTCCATTCGATGATCCCATTCAATTCCATTCGATGATGATTCCATTCGAGTGCATTCGATGATTCCTATAGATTCCACTCCATGACGATTCCATTCAAGTCCATCCGATTACTCTATTCGATTCCATTATATAATGATTCCAATCGAGTCCATTTTATGATTCGATTCAAGTCCATTTGATGATTCCATTCGAGTCCATTTGATGCTTCCATTCGATTCCTTTTGATGATTCCATTCGAGTCCAATTGATGATTCCATTCAATTCCATTTGATGATGATTCTGTACGATTCCATTCCATGATGATTCCATGTGATTCCCTTCGATGATGATTCATTTTTATTCCATTCGATTATGATTCATTTCGAGTTCATTTGATGATTTCACATGTTTCCATTCGATGTTGATTCCATTCGTGTCCATTTGATGATTCCATTTGAAACCATTTGATGAGGATTCCATTCGATTCCATTCATTGGTGATTCCATTCAATTCCATTCAATGATTCCATTCCATTCCATTTGACAATGATTCCATTAGATTCCATTCGATGATTACACTTGATTCCATTTGACAATGATTCCATTTGATTCCCTTCATTGGTGATTCCATTCAATTCCATTCAATGATTCCATTCCATTCCATTCAACAATGATTCCGTTAGATTCCATTTGATGATTCCACTTGATTCCATTTACGATGATTCCATTTGATTCCATTCAATGATTCCATTCAATTATATTCGATGATATTTCCATTTGATTTCATTCGACAATGATTGCCTTTGATTTCATTCAATGATTCCATTCAGTTCCATTCGAAGATGATTCCATTCGATTCCATTTGATGATTCCATTGGATGATTCCATTTGATTACATTTGATGATTATTCCATTTGAGTGCATTCGATGATTCCATTCGAGTCCATTCAATGATTCCATTCGTGTACATTTGATGATTCCATTCGAGTCCATTCAATGATTCCATTCGTGTACATTTGATGATTCCATTCATTTCCATTCGATGATGATCCCATTAGAGTCCATTCAATGATTCCATTCGAGTGCATTTGATAATTGCATTCAAGTCCATTCAATGATTTCATTTGATTCCTTTTGATGATTCCATTCGAGTCCATTTGATCATTCCATTCGAGTCCATTCAATGATTCCATTTGAAGGTGATCACATTTGATTCCATACGATGATGATTCCATTTGAGTTCATTCGATGATTTCATTTGATTCAATTTGATGATGATTCCATTTGAGTCCATTCAATGATTCCATTCTATTCCATTTGATGATGATTCCTTTCAACTCCATTCAATGATTCTATTCAAGTCAATTCAGTAATTGCTTTGGATTCCATTTGATGATGATTACATTTGATTCCATTCGATGATGATTAGATTTGATACATTTCTATGATTCCATTCAATTCCATGCGATGTTGATTCAAGTCAATTCCGTTTGATTATTCTATTCTTTTACATTTGATGATGATTATATTTGATTACATTCTATGTTTCCGGTTGAGTATATTTGATGATGTTTCCATTTGTTTCCATTCGATGATTCCATTAGATTCCTTTCAATGATGATTCCATTCGATTCCATTCAATGATGATTGCATTTGTGTCCATTCGATTATTCCATTTGATTCCATTCGATGATGATTCCATTTGAGTCCATTCGATGATTCCATTCGATTCCATTTGATGATTATTCCATTCGAATCCATTCAATGATTCCACTTGATTCCATTCAATGACTCCTTTTGATCCCATTCGATGATTCCCTTTGATTCCATTCGATGATCATTCCATTTGATTCAATTCGGTGATTCCACTCGATTGTATTCAATGATGATTCCATTTGACTCCATTCGATGATGATTCCATTCAATTCCATTTGATTATGATTTCATTCAATTCCATTTGATGATTCCATTCGAGTCCATTCGATGATTCCGTTAGATTCCATTTGATGATGATTCCATTCAATGCCATTAGATGATTCCATTTGATTCCATTCAACAATGATTCCATTCTTGTCCATTCGATGATTTCATTCAATTCCATTTGAAGATGATTCCATTCGAGCCCATTCGGTGATTCCATTCAATTCCATTCTATGATAATTCCCTTCTAAACCATTTGATGATTCCATTCGATTCCATTCGATGATGACTGCATTCGGTTCCATCTGATGATGACTGTAACAGATTTCATTCGATTTCTCCATTTGATTCATTTCGTTGATGATTCCATTCTTTTCCATTTGATGATGATTCCATTATATTCCATTTGATGATGATTCCATTCGATTCCATTCAATGATGATTCCATTGGATTCCATTCGATGATTCCATTCAATTCCATTCGATGGTGATTCCATTCGGGTCCATTCGATGATTCCATTAAATTCCATTTGGTGATTCCATTCTATTCCATTCGATGGTGATTCCATTCGGGTCCATTCGATGATTCCATTTGTTTCCATTCGATGATGATTCCTTTCGAGTACATTCAATGATTCCATTCAAGTCTATTCGAAGATTGCTTTCGATTCCATTTGAAGATTCCATTCGAGTCCATTCGATGATTCCATTGAAGTCCATTTGACGTTTCCTTTTGATTCCACTCAATGTTGATTCCATTTGAGTCCATTCGATTATTCCATTCGTGTGCATTCCATGATTTCATTCGACTCCATTCGATGATATTTCCATTCGAGTCCATTTGATGATTCCATTTGATTTCATTTGGTGATTATTCCATTCGATGATTCCATTCAAGTGCATTCAATGATTACATTCGAGTCCATTAGATGATTCCATTCCTTTCCATTCGATGATGACTCCATTCGAGTCTATTCAATGATGACTCCATTCGATTCCATTCAATGATACCATTGGCTTCCATTCTTTGTTTTATTTCGATTCCTTTTGGTGATGATTCCATTCGATTTCATTTGATGATCCCATTCGATTCTATTTTATGATGATTCCATTCAATTCCATTTGATGAAAATTCCATTCAATTCCATTCGTTGATGATTCCATTACATTATATTCGATGAGGATTCTATTCAATTCCATTCAATGATGATTCCATTCGATTCCATTTGATGATGATTCCTTTCGAGACCATTCAATGATTCCATTCACTTCATTCGATGATGATTCCATTCAATTCCGTTAGATGATTCCATTAGAATCCATTTGATGATTATTCCATTCGATGCCATTCGATGATGATTCCATGCGATTCCGTTGGATGATGACTCCATTCATTTCCATTTGATGATTATTCCTTTTGACTCCATTTGATGTTGATTCTTTCAATTCCATTTGATGATGTTTCCATTTGATTCCATTCGAAGATGATTCCATTCGATTTCATTAGATGATTCCATTCGATTCCATATGATGATTATTCCATTTGAGTCCCATTCGATGATTCCATTCGATTACATTTGATGATGATTCCATTCGATTCGATTAGATGATTCCATTCGATGTCTTTCAATGATGTTTCCATTTGAATCCATTCGGTGATTCCTTTCCATTCCAATTGAAGATGATTCCATTCCATTCCATTCAATGATAACATTCAATACCATTCATTGATGGTTCCATTTGAATGCATTCGATTATACCATTCGATTCCATTTGATGATGATTCCATTCGAGTCCATTTGATGATTCCATTGGAATCCATTTGATGATGATTCCATTCAATGATTCCATTCGATTCTATTCGTTGGTGATTCCATTCGATTTCATTCGATGCTGATTCCATTCAATTCCATTCGATGATTCCATTTGATTCCATTCGATGATTCCATTTGATTCCATTCGATAATGATTCCATTCTGGTCCATTCGATGATTCCATTCGAGCCCATTCGATAATTCCATTTAAGTCCATTCGATGATTCCATGCGTGTCCATTCGATCATTCCATTTGAGTCCATTTGATGATGACTCCATTCGAGTACATTCAATGATTCCATTCAATTCCATTCAATGATGATTCCATTTGAATCCATTCAATGATTCCATTCAAGTCCATTTGATGATTCCTTTCAATTCCATATGATGATGATTCCATCCGAGTCCATTCGATGGTTCCACTCTATTCCTTTCCATGATGATTCCATTCATGTCCATTCGATGATTCAATTTATGTCCATTCGATGATTCCATTTGTCTTAGTTCGATGATGATTCCATTCGATTGTATTTGATGATTCCATTCTATTCCATTCGATGATGATTCCATTCGACTCCATTTGATGATTCCATTCGATTCAATTTAATGATTCCATTGGGTTCAATTCGATGATGATTACATTGGATTCCATTCTATGATTCCATTCGATTCCATTCGTTCATGATTCCATTAGATTAAATTCGATGATGATTCCATTCGATTTCATTCTATGATTCGAATCGATTCCATTCAATGATGATTCAATTCTATTCCATTCGATGATTCCATTTGATGATGATTCCATTCGATGATGGTTCCATTCAATTTGATTCGATGATGATTCCATTCTATTCCATTCGGTGATGATTCTATTCGAGTCCATTCGAAGATTCCCTTCGATTACATTCCATTATGATTCAATTCGATTCCATTCTATGATTCTGTTCGACTCCATTTGACGATGATTCCATTCGATTCTATTCAATGATTCCATTCAATTTCATTCAATGATGATTCTATTTGACTACAATCGATGATTCCATTCAATTCCAGTCAATGATGATTCCATTCAATTCCATTCCATGTTTCCATTGGATTCCATTTGATGATGATTCCATTCCATTCCATTCAATGATTCCATTTGATTCCATTAGATGATGATTCCATTCTGGTCCATTCAATGATTCCATTCGATTCCATTTGATGATAATTCCATTCGAGTCCATTGGATGATTCCATTCAATTCAATTCATTGATGATTCCATTCGATTCCATTTGATTATGATTCCATTCAATTCCATTCTATGATTCCATTCGATTCCATTCAATGATGATTCCATTCGATTCCATTTGATAATTCCATTTGATTCCATTCAATGATGATTCCATTCGATTCCATTCTATCATTCCATTCGATTCCATTCAATGATGATTCCATTCGATTCCATTTGATGATCCCATTTGATACCATTTGATGATGATTCCATTCGAATCCATTCAATGATTCCATTCGATTCTATTTGATGAAGATTCCATTAGAGTCCATTTGATGATTCCATTCAAGTCCATTCGATGATTCCTTTCAATTCCACTCGATGTTGATTTCATTCGAGTCCATTCGATGATTCCATTCATGTGCATTCCATTATTCCATTCAATTCCATTCAATGATGACTCCATTCGAGTCCATTTGATGATTTCATTTGATTTCATTCGATGAGGATTCCATTTGATTCTGTTCGATGATTCCATTTGAGTCCTTTCAATGATGATTCCATTTAATTGCATTTGATGATGATTCCATTCCATTTCATTCAATGATTCTATTTGATTCCATTTGATGAAGATTCAATTCTATTCCATCCAATGATTCCATTCGATTCCATTCAATGATGATTCCATTCGATTCCATTCGATGATGATTCCATTCGATTGCATTCGATGATGATTTGATTTGAGTCCATTCGAAGATTCCATTTGATTGCATTCCATAACGATACCATTTGTGTCCATTCGATGATTTCATTTGACTCCGTTCGAGGATGATTCCATTCAATGCTATTCGATGTTTCCCATCTATTCCATTCGATGATGATTCCATTCGTCTCCATTCGATGATTCCATTCGAGTCATTCTTTCGATGATGATTCCATTCAATGCCATTTGCTGATTCCATTCGATTCCATTCAATGATGATTGCATTCTTGTCCATTCAATTATTCCATTCGATTCCATTCGATGATGATTCCATTCTAGTCCATTCGATGACTCCATTCGATTCCATTCGAAGTTGATTCCATTCGAGTCCCTTTGATGATTGCTTTTGATTCCATTCTCTGATGATTTCTTTTGAGCCTATTCAATGCTTCCACTCGATTCCATACGATGATGACTCCATTCGATTAAATTTGATGATGATTCCATTTGATTGAATTCGATGATGATTCCACAGGAGTCCATTCGAAGATTCCATTGGATTACATTCCATGACGATTCCGTTCGAGTCCATTCGATGATTCCATTCGACTCCATTCGACGATGATTCCATTCGATGCTATTCGATGATTCCATTCGATTTCATTTGATGATGATTCCATTCAACTCCATTCGATGATTCCATTCGAGTTCATTCGATTATTCCATTAGATTCCATTCAATGATGATTCCATTCAATACCATTCGATGATTCCATTCGATTCCATTTGATCATGATTCCATTCGAGTCCATTCGATGATGACTGCATTCAATTCCATTCGATGATTCCATCTGATTCCATTCGATGAAGATTCTGATCAATTCCATTCGATGATTCCTTTTGATTCCATTCTATGATTCCATTTAATTCCATTCGATAATGATTCCACTCGAGTCCATTCGATGCTTCCATTCGAGCCCATTCCATAATTCCATTTGAGTCCAATCCTTGATTCCATTCGAGTCCATTCAGTGATTCCTTTCGATTCCATTCGATGATGATTCCATTCCATTCCATTCCATTCGTGGATTCCATTTGACTCCGTTCGATGATGATTTCATTCGAGTCCATTCAATGATTCCATTTGAATCCATTTGATGATGATTCCATTCGAGTCCATTCGATGATTCTATTAGAATCCATTTGATGATTGCTTTAGATTATATTCGTTGATGAATCCATTCGAGTCCATTCAATGAATCCATTCGATTCCATTCAATGATGATTTCATTCGAGTCCATTTGATGATTCCATTTGATTCCATTCTCCGATGATTACATTCAGGTCCATTCGATGATTCCACTCAATTCCATACAATGATGATTCCATTCGATTCCATTCGATGATTCCATTCTATTCCATTCAATGATGATTCCATTCGAGTACATTAGATGATCCCATTCGATTCCATTCGATGATTATTCTATTCATGCGCATTAGATGATTCCACACAATTCCATTCGATGGTGATACTATTTGATTCCAATAATGATTCCCTTCAAATCCGTTCGATGATGATTCCATTTAATTCAATTCATTGGTGATTCCATTCAATTCCATTATTTGATTCCATTCCATTTGAGAATGATTCCATTCTATTTCTTTCGATGATTCCACTAGATTCCACTTGAGAATGATTCCATTCGATTCCATTCAATGATTCCATTTGATTCCAGTCAATGATGATTGCCTTCGATTCCATTTGATCATTCCATTCGATTCCATTCGATGATGATTCCATTTGATTCCATTCGATGATTATTCCATTTGATTCTATTCGATGAATCCATTCAATTCCATTCCATGATGATTCCTTTTGTGTTCATTGATTATTCCATTCCATTCCATTTGATGATTCCATTCGAGTCCATTCAATGATTCTATTCGATTCCATTCAATAATTCCTTTTGATTCCATTTGATGATGATTCCATTCGAGTCCATTCGATGATTATTCCATTCGATTCTATTCGGTGAATACTTTCAATTCCATTTGATAATAATTCCATTTGAGACCATTCGATGATTCCATTCAATTCATTCAATGATGATTCCATTCAATTCAATTCGATAATTCCACTAGATTCCATTTGATGATGATTCCATTCGATTTAATTCGATGATGATTCCATGCAATTCCATTCGATAATGACCCCTTTTGTTTCCATTCGTTGACGTTTCCTTTCGGTTCCATTCGATGATGATTCCTTTGGATTCCATTCGATAATGAATCCATTCCACTAGATTTGATGTTAATTCATTTCAATTCCATTCGATGATGATTCCATTTGATTCCATTTGATGATGATTCCATTTTGTTCCATTCGATGATGATTCCATTTGATTACATTCGATGATGATTCCATTCAATTCCAATTGATGATTCCATTCGATTCCATACGATGATGATTCCATTCTAGTCCATTCAGTGATGATTCTATTGGATTCCATTCGATGATTCCATTCGATTCCTTTCGATGGTTATTCCATTCGAGTCCATTCGGTGATTCCTTTTGATGCCAATTGAAGATTATTCCATTCAATTCCATTTGATGGTACCATTCGATACCATTCATCGATGATTCCATTAGAGTGCATTCGATGATACCATTCGGTTCCATTTGATGATAATTCCATTCGATTCCATTCAATGATTCCATTCAATTCCATTCTATGATGATTCCATTCGAGTCCATTTGATGATTCCGTTGGACTCCATTTGATGATGATTCCATTCTATGATACCATTCGATTCTATTCTATGATGATTCCATTCGATTTCGTTCGATGCTGATTCCATTCAATTCCATTTGATGATTCCATTTGATTCCATTCGATGATTCCATTTGACTGAATTCGACGATGATTCCATTCACTTCCATTCAATGATTCCATTCGATTCTATTCAAAGATGATTCCACTCGATTCCATTTGATGATGACTGCATTCGATTCCATTCGATTCTATTCGAAGATGATTCCACTCGATTCCATTTGATGATGACTGCATTCGATTCCATTTGATGATTCCATTTGATTCTGTTCGATGATGATTCCGATCAATTGCATTCGATGAGTCCATTCGATTCCATTTGATGATTCCATTTGATTCCATTCAATAATGATTCCATTCGGGTAAACTCGATGATTCCATTTGAGGATATTCGTTAAGTCCATTTGAGTCCATTCTATACTGATTCCATTCGAGTCCATTCAATAATTCCATTGGAGTCCATTCGATGATTGCTTTTAATTCCATTCGATGATATTCCATTTGAGTCCATTCAATAATTCCATTCAATGCTATTAGATGATGATTCCATTAGTGTCCATTTGGTGATTCCATTCGATTTCATTCGATGATGATTCCATTCGAGTCCATTCAATGATTCCATTCAAGTCCATTTGATGATCCCTTTCAATTCCATTCGATGATGATGCCATTCGAGTCCATTCAATGACTCCATTCAAGTCCATTTGATGATTCCTTTCAATTCCATTCGATGATGATTACATTCTATACCATTCGATTATTCCATTCAATTCCATTCGATGATGATTCCATTCGAGTCCATTCGATGATTCCATTCGAGTCCATTTAATGAATTCATTGGGTTCAATTCGATGATGATTACATTGGATTCCATTCTATGATTCTATTCGATTCTGTTCATTGATGATTTGATTCCATTCGATGATGATTACATTCAATTTCATTGGATGATTCTATTCGATTCCATTCGATGGTGATTCAATACTCTTATATTGGATGATTCCATTCAATTCCATTCGATGATGATTCCTTTCGATTCCATTCGATGATGATTCCATTCTCTTCCATTGGATGATTCCATTTTATTCCATTCGATGATGACTCCATTTGATTCCATTCGATGATGATTCCATTGGATTCCATTTGATGATTCCATTCGATTCCATTCGATGGTGAGCAATTCAATTCAATTCCATGATTATTCTATTTGATTCAATTACATGATGTTTCCCTTCGATTCCATTCGATGATGATTCCATTGGAATCCATTCGATGATGATTCCGTTCAAATCCATTCAATGATGATTCCATACGAGTCCGTTTGATGATGATTCCATTCGATTTCATTCGATGTTTCTATTCGATTCCATTCGATGACGATTCCGTCTGATTCCATTCTATGATTCCATTCGATTCCATTGAATGCTTCTATTGGATTTCATTCGATGATGATTCCATTCGATTCCATTCGATAATTCCATTTGATTCCATTTGATGATGATTCCATTCGAGTCCATTTGATGATTCCATTCGAGTCCCTTCGTTGATTCCACCCGATTCCATTTGATGATGATTCCATTCGAGTCCATTCGAAGATTCCATTTGATTCCATTCTATGATTCCATTCGAGTCCATTCGATTAATCCATTCGAGTCTATTTGATGATTCCATTCATTTCCATTCAGTGATGATTCCATTCGATTCCATCTGATGATGATTTCACTTGATTCCATTCGATGATGATTCCATTCGAGTCCATTCAATGATTCAATTCGATTCCATTCGATGCTGATTCCATTCGAATCCATTTGATTATTCCATTGAAATCCCTTCTTTGATTCCATCCAATTCCATTTGATGATGATTCCATTCGAGTCCAATCTATGATTCCATTCGGTTCCATTCAATGATTCCATTGAGTCCATTTGATTATTCCATTCGTGTCCATTTGATGATTCCATTAGATTCCATTTGATGATTATTCCATTTGATTCCATTTGATGATTCCGTTCAATTCCTTTCCATGATTCCCTATGATTCCTTTCTGTGATGATTCCATTCGATTCCATTCGTTGATGATTCCATTCGATTCCATTCGATGATGATTCCTTTTGATTCTCTTTGTTGATGATTCCATTTGATTCCATTTGATGATGATTCCATTCGACTCCATTTGAAGATAATTCCATCCGATTTCATTCGATGGTTCCATTCGATTCCATTAGATGATTAATCCATTTGATTCCATTCGATGATTCCATTCGATTCCATTTGATGATGAACCATTCGATTCAATTCCATGATGATTCCATTTGATTCTATTCGATGATGTTTCCATTTGATTCCATTCGATGATGATTCCACTCAATTCCATATGATGATGTTTCCATTCGAGTCCATTCAATGATGATTCCATTCGATTCCGTTCGATTATGATTCCATTTGATTTCATTCAATGCTTCTATTTGATTCCATTCGATGATGATTCCATCTCATTCCGTTCGATGATTCCATTCGATTCCATTCAGTGATGATTCCATTTGATTCCATCTGATGATGATTTCATTTGATTCCTTTTGATGATGATTCCATTTGAGTTCATTCGATGATTCCATTGGAGTCCAATCGATCATTCCATTCGATTCCATTCGATGATGATTCCATTGAAGTCCATTCGACGATTACATTCGATTTCATTTGACGATGATTCCACTCGAGTCCATTTGATTATTCCATTCAATGTCATTTGATGATGACTCCATTCAAGTCAATTCGATGATTCCATTCGGTTCCATTCGATGATGACTCCATTTGAGCACATTCGATGATTCCATTCGATTCCATTCAATGATGATTCCATTAGAATCCATTCGATGATTCCATTCGAGTCCATTGGATGATTCCATTCGAGTCCATTTGATGATTCCATTCTTTTCCATTCGATGATGATTCCATTAGGGTCCATTCGATGATTCCATTCGAGTATATTTGATAATTCCTTTCGAGTCCATTTGATGATTCCATTTGAGTCCATTCAATGAGTCCATTCAAGTCCATTTGATGATTCCATTCTTTTCCATTCGATGATGATTGCATTAGAGTCCATTTGATGATTCCATTTGAGTCCATTCGATAATTCCTTTCAAGTCCTTTTGATCACTCCATTCGAGTCCATTCGATGATTCTATTTGATTCCATTCTATGATGATTCCATTCGAGTCCATTCGATGATTGCATTCGAGTCCATTCAATGATTCCATTCAATTCCATTCAACAATGATTCCATTCGTGTCCATTTGATGATTCCATTCATTTCCATTCGATGATGGTTCCATTCGAGTGTATTCAATGATTCCATTCAAATCCATTCGATGATGATTCCATTCGAGTCCATTCGATCATTTCACTTGATGATTCCATTCGAGTCCATTTGATCATTCCACTTGAATCCATTCGATGACTATTCCATTCGAATCCATTCAATGATTCCGTTCAATTCCATTCGATGATACCATTCGAGTACATTCGATGATTCCACTCAATTCCATCTGATGATTATTCCATTGGAGTCCACTTAGTGAATCCTTTAGATTCCACTCGAAGATGACTCCATTCTATTCCATTCAATGACACAATTCAATTCCATTCGTTGATGATTCTTTTCGAATGCATTCGATGATATCATTCGATTCCATTTGATGATGATTGCATTTGATTCCATTCAATGATTGTATTCGATTCCATTCAATGATGATTCCATTCGAGGCAATTCGATGATTCCATTGGACTCCATTTGATGATGATTCCATTCAATGATTCCATTCGATTCTATTCAATAATGATTCCATTCGTTGATGATTCCATTGGATTCCATTCGATGATTCCATTCGATTCCATTCGACGATGATTGCATTTGATTCCATTCGATGATTTTATTTGATTCCATTCGATGATTCCGATCAATTCCATTTGTTGATTCCATTCAATTCCATTCGATAATGATTACATTAGAGTCCATTCGATGATTCCATTTGAGCCAATTCAATAATTCCATTTGAGTCCTATCAATGATTCCATTCATTTGCATTCAATGATTCCATTAGAGTCCATTCAATCATTCCATTAGATTCCATTCCATGATGGTTCCATTGGAGTGCATTCGATGATTCCATTAGATTCCATTTGATAATTCCATTCGAATCCATTTGATGATTGCTTTCAATTCCATTTGACGACGATTCCATTCGAGTCAATTTGATGACTCCATTCGATTTCATTCAATGATGATTCCATTCGTGTGCATTCAGTGATTCCAATAAATTTCATTCGATGATGATTCCTTTTGAATCCATTCGATGATTCCATTCAATTCCATTTGAGGATGTTTCGATTCGAGTTCATTTACAGATTCCCTTTGATTTCATTCGATGATGATTCCATTCGAGTCTTTTCAGTGATCCCATTTGTTTACATTCGATGATGATTACATTCGAGTCCATTTGATGATTACATTTGATTCCATTCGATGACGATTCCATTCGAGTCCATTAGATGATTCCATTTGATTACATTCGATGATAATTCCATTCGAGCCATTCGATGATTCTATTCGAATCCATTTGATGATTGCTTTCGATTATATTCGATTATGATTCCATTCGATTCCATTCAATGATTCAATTTGATTCCATTCGATGATGATTCCATTCCATTCCATTCGATGATGATTCCATTCGAGCCCATTCAATGATTCCATTCAATTCCATTCACTGATGATTGCATTCGAGTCTATTCGATGATTCCATTCGATTCCTTTCGAAGATGATTCCATTTGACATCATCCAATGATTCCATTCGTTTTCATTCTATTATGATTCCATTCGATTCCATTAGATGGTTGATTCCATTCGATCATGATTCCATTCGAGTCCGTTCAACGATTCCATTCGAATCCATTCGATGATGATTCCATTCGGGGCCATTCGAAGATTCCATTCAATTCCATTTGATGATTCCATTCGAGTACATTTGATGATTTCATTCGAGTCCATTTGAGGATGATTGCTTTTGATTCCATTCCATGATTATTCCATTCAATTCCATTCGATGATGATTCTATTCAGGGCCATTCGAAGATTCCATTCAATTCCATTCGATGATTCCTTTTGAGTACATTTGATGATTTCATTCGAGTCCATTCGAGGATGATTGCTTTTGATTCCATTCCATGATTATTCCACTCGATTCCATTCGATTCCATTCGATGATTCCATTCGATTCCATTCAATGATGATTTCATTCAAGTCCATTCAATGATTCCATTTGATTCCATTCTCCGATGGTTACATTCGAGTCCTTTCAATGATTCTACTCGATTCCATATGATGATGATTCCGTTCGATTCCATTCATTGTTGATTCCATTCAATTCAATTCACTGATTCCATTCAATTCCATTCGACAATGATTCCATTCGATTCCATTCGAAGATTCCACTCGATTCCACTTGATGTGATTCCCTTCATTTCCATTCAATGATTCCACTTGATTCCATTATATGATGATTGCCTTCGATTCCATTTGATGATTCCATTCGAGTCCATTTGATGGTTTCATTAGATTCCATTCGAAGATGATTCCATTCAATGTCATTTGATGATTTTTTTCAAATCCATTCAACAATGATTCCATTCGTGTATATTCGATGATTCCATTTGATTCCATTTGATGGTCATTCCATTCGAGTCCATTCGATGATTCCATTCAATTACATTCGACGATGATTCCATTCTAATCCATTTGATGATTCCATTCGATTCCATTTGATGATGACTGCATTCGGTTCCATTTGATGATGATTCCAAAGGAATCCATTCTATTTCTTCATTTGATTCCATTCGTTGAAGATTCCATTTGTTTCCATTAGATGATGATTCTATTAGATTCCTTTCGATGATGATTCCATTCGATTCCATTCAATGACGATTCCATTTAATTCCGTTCAATGATGATTCCACTCGATTCCATTCGATGATTCCATTTAATTCCCTTCGATTGTGATGCCATTTGAGTGCATTCAATGATTCCATTCAATTCCACTCAATGATACTTTATATTCGAGTCCATTCGATGATTGCATTCGACTCCATTTGATGATTCCATTCGATACCATGCGATGATGATTCCATTGAGTCCATTCGATGATTCCATTTGATTTCATTTGATGATGACTGCATTCGGTTCCATTCGATGATGATTCCAACAGACTCCATTCGATGATTCCATTTGATTCCATTCATTGATGATTCCATTCGATTCCATTCGATGATTTTTCCATTCGATTCCATTCATTGATGATTCCATTCGATTCCATTCGATGATTCCTTTTGATTCCATTTGATAATGATTCCATTTGGGCCCATTCGATGATTCCATTTGATTCCATTCAATCATGATTCCATTGGATGATTCCTTTCAATTCCATTCGATGTTTCCTATCGATTCCATTTGATATTGATTCCATTGGAGTCCATTCGATGATTCCATTTGAGTGCATTCCATGATTTCATTCGATTCCATTCAGTGATGATTCCATTGGAGTGCATTTGATTATTCCATTTTATTTCATTTGATGATGATTCCATTCGATTCCATTTGGTGATCCCATTGTAGTCCAATGATTCCTTTTGAGTCCATTAAATGATTCCATTCGATTCCATTCGATAATGACCCCATTTGAATCCATTCAATGATGATTCCATTTGATTCCATTTGATGATTCCATTGGATTCCATTCTTTGTTTTATTTCCATTCTTTTTGATGATGATTCCTTTCTCTTTCATGCGATGATCCCATCCGATTCCAATCCATGATTCCATTCAATCCCATTTGATGAAAATTCCATTCGATTCCATTCGATGATTATTGCATTTGATTATATTTGATGCTGATTCTATTTGATTCCTTTCGATAATGATTCCATTCGATTCCATTCGATGATTCCATTCGATTCCATTTGATGGTGATTCCATTTGAAACTTTTCGATGATTCCATTCAATTATATTCAATAATGATTCCATTCGAGTCCATTCGATGACTCCATTCAAGTCCATTTCATGATTCCATCTCATTCCATTCGATGATGATTCCATTAAGGTCCATTCGATGATTCCATTTGATTCCATTCGGTGATGATTTCATTCGATTCCATTCAATGATTCCATTCGATTCCATTCGATGATGATTCCAATCAATTCCAATCGATGATTCCCTTCGAATCCACTTGATGATGAGTCTATACATTTCAATTCCGTGATGATTCCATTCGATTCAATTCGATGGTGTTTCCATTCGTTTCCAGTTGATGTTGATTCCAGTTGATTCCATTGGATGATGATTTCATTCAAGTCCATTCGATGATGGTTCCACTCGAGTCCATTCGATGATGATTCCATTCGATTTCATTCGACGATTCTATTCGATTCCATTCAATGATGATTCCTTCTGATTCCATTCGATGAATCATTTGATTCCATTCGATGATGATTCCATTTGTTTAAATCCGATGATGATTCCATTCGATTACATTTGATGATTATTCCATTCGAGTAATTTCTATGATTCCATTCGATACCATTCGATGATGATTCCATTTGAGTCCATTCGATGATTCCATTTGAGTCCATTTGATGATGATTCCATTCGAGTCCATTCAATGATTCCATTCGATTCCATTCGATGAAGATTCCATACGAGTCCATTCGATGATTCCATTTGATTCCATTTGATGAAGACTCCATATGAATCCATTTGATGTTTCCATTTGATTCCATTTGATGATGATTCCATTCGAGCCCATTCGATGATTCAATTCGATTCCATTCGATGATTATTCCATTCGAGTACATTGATTATTCCATTCCATTCCATTCGATGTTTCCATTCGAGTACATTGATTATTCCATTCCATTCCATTCGATGATTCCATTAGAGTCCATTTGATGATTCTATTCCATTCCATTCGATAATTCCATTCGATTCCATTTGATGTTGACTCCATTCGAGTCCATTCGAGGATTATTCCATTCGATCCTATTCGATCATTCCATTCGATTCCATTCGATGATGATTCCATTCGTGTCCATTCGATGATTCCATTTGATAAAATTCGATGATGATTCCATTCGATTGCATTTGATAATTCCATTCTATTCCATTCGATGATGATTGCTTTCGAGTCCATTCGATTATTCCATTCGAGTCCATTTGATTATTCCATTGAGTTCAATTCGATGATGATAACATTGGATTCCATTCTATGATTCCATTCGATTCCATTTGTTCTTGATTCCATTCAATTCCACTCGATGATGATTCCATTCGATTTCATTCAATGATTCTATTCAATTCCTTTCGATGATGAATCAATTCTATTCCATTGGATGATTCTATTCTATTCCATTCAATGATGATTCCATTCGATTGCATTTTATGATGATTCCATTCATGTCCATTCGAAGTTTCCATTCGATTACATTGCATGATGATTCTGTTCCAGTCCATTCGATGATTCCATTCGACTGCATTTGACGATGATTCCATTCAATGCTATTCAATGATTCCATTCGATTCCATTCGATAATGATTACATTTGACTCCATTTGATGATTCCATTCGAGTCCATTCAATGATGATTGCATTCGTGTCCATTCGATGGTTCTATTCAATTCCATTCAATGATGATTCCATTAGAGTCCATTCAATGATTCCATTCGATTCCATTCAATGATGATTACATTTGAATCCATTCAATGATTTCACTCGATTCTATTCAATGACTCTGTTCGATCCCATTGGATGATTTCCTTCGAATCCATTTCATGATCCTTCCATTTGATTGAATTTGGTGATTCCATTCGATTCTATTCAATGATTGTTCCAATCGAATCCTATAGATGATGATTCCATTCAATTCCATTTGATTATGATCATATTCGATTCCATTTGATGATGATTCCATTCGAGTCCATTCAATGATTCCATTCGATTCCATTCGATGATGATTCCACTCAAGTCCATTCGATGATTCCATTCGAGTCCATTCAATGATTTCATTAGATTCCATTGGAAGATGATTCCATTTGATGTCATTCGATGATTTCATTCATATCCATTCAACGATGATTGCATTCGTGTACATTCGATGATTCCATTCAATTCCATTTGATGGTCATTCCATTCAAGTCAATTCGATGATTGCATTCAATTCCATTCGTTGATGATTCCATTCTAACACATTTGATGATTCCATTCGATTCCATTCGATTATGACTGCTTTCAGTTCCATTTGATGATGATTCCAACGGATTCCATTCTATTTCTTCATTTGATTCCATTCGTTGATGATTCCATTCGTTTCCATTAGTTGATGATTCCATTAGATTTCATTCAATGATGATTCCATTTGATTCCATTCAATGACGATTCAATTTAATTCCATTCAATTGTGATTCCACTCGATTCCATTCGTGGATTCCATTTGATTCCATTCGATGGTGATTCCATTCAAGTGCATTCAATGATTCCCTTCGATTCCACTCGATGATACTTCAATTTGAGTCCATTCGATGATTCCTTTCGATTCCATTTGATGATGATTCCATTCGAGTCCATTCGATGATTGTATTTGAGTCCATTTGATGATTCCATTTGATTCCATGTGATGATGATTCCATCGAGTCCATTTGATGATTCCATTTGATTTCATTCCATGATGACTGCATTCGGTTCCATTCGATGATGAACCCAACGGACTCCATTCAATGACTCCATTCGATTCCATTCATTGATGATTCCATTCGGTCCCATTCGATGATGTTTCCATTCGATTCCATTCGATGATGATTCCATTTTACTCCATTCCATGATTACTCCATTCAATTCCATACAATGATGATTCCATTCAATTCCATTCGATGATTCCTTTTGATTCCATTCAATGATGATTCCATTCTGCTCCATTCGATGATTCCATTCGATTCCATTCGATTATGATTCCATTCGATGATGATTGCATTCGACTCCATTCCTTGATTACTCAATTCGATTCCATTCAATGATGATTCCATTCAATTCCATTCGTTGATTCCTTTTGATTCCATTTGATGATGATTCCATTTGGCTCCAGTCGATGATTCCATTCGATTCCATTTGATTATGATTCCATTCGATGATTCCATTCAATTCCATTTGATGGTCATTCCATTCGAGTCCATTCAATGATTCCATTCAATTCCATTTGATGATGATTCCATTCTAGTCCATTTGATGATTCCATTCTAGTCCATTTGATGATGACTGCATTCGGTTTCATCTGATGATGATTCCATCGGATTCCATTCTATTTCTCCATTTGATTCCATTCGTTGATGATTCCATTCGTTTCCATTAAATGATGATTCCATTAGATTGCATTCGATGATGATTCCAATCAATTCCATTCAATGACAATTCCATTCAATTCCATTCAATGATGATTCCATTCGATTCCATTCAAGGGTTATTCCATTAGTGTCCATTCGATGATTCCATTTGATTCCATTTGATGGTGATTCCACTCAAGTACATTCAATGATTCCATTCAAGTCCATTCGATGTTGATTCCACTCAAGTACATTCAATGATTCCATTCAAGTCCATTCGATGATTCCTTTCAATGCCATTCAATGATGATTCCATTCAAGTGCATTCGATGATTCCATTCAATTCCACCGAAAGATAACTCCATTCAAGTCAATTAGATGATTCCATTTGATTCCATGTGATGATGATTCCATCGAGTCCATTTGATGATACCATTTGATTCCATTTGATGCTGCGTGCATTCAGTTCCATTCGATGATGATTCCAAAGGACTCCATTCGATGACTCCATTCGACTCCATTCATCGATGATTCTTTTGGATTCCATTCGATGATGATTCCATTCAATTCCATTCGATGATGATTCCTTTCAATTCCATTCGATGATTCCATTCGTGTCCATCCGATGATGATTCCATTCATCTCCATTTGATGATTCCATTCAAGTCCATTCGATTATCCATTCGAGTCTATTCGATGATTCCATTTGATTCCATTTGATGATTACTCCATTTGATTCCATTAGATGATAACTTTTGATTCCATTTGATGATTCCCTTCGATTTCTTTCTATGATGATTCCATTCTATTCCATTCGATGATACCATTCTATTTGATTCAAAGATGATTCCTTTCAATTCCATTCGATGATGATTCCATTCAATTCCATTTGATGATGACTGCATTCGGTTCAATTCAATGATGATTCCAACGGATTCCATTCGATTTCTCCATTCAACTGAATTCATTGTTGATTCCATTCGATTCCAGTAGGTCATAATTCCATTGGAATCCCATCGATGATGATTAATTTCAATTCCATTCAATGATGATTCCATTCGACTCCATTCGATGATGATTCCATTTGATTTCACTCGATGATTCCATTCAATTCCATTCGATGATTATTCCATTCGTGTCCATTTGATTATTCCATTCGATTCCATTCCATGATGATTCCATTTGAGTCCATTCAATGATTCCATTGAAGTCCATTCGATGTTTCCTTTCAATTTCATTCTATGATGATTCCATTCGAGTCCATTGGGTGATTCCATTCGATTCCATTCGATGATGATTCCATTCGGGTCCATTCGATCATTGCCTTTGATTTCATTCGATGATGATTCCATTCGATTCCATTCGATGATTGCATTCTATTTCATTCGATGATGATCCTATTCAAGTCCATTCTATGATTCCATTCGATTCCATTTAATGAATCCATTGGTTTCAATTCGATGATGATTACATTGGATTCCATTCGTTGATGATTCCATTCGATTCCATTCGATGATGATTCCATTCAATTTCATTCAATGATTCTATTCGATTCCATTCGATGATGATTCTATTCGATTCCATTGGATGATTCCGTTCGATTCCATTGGATGATGGTTCCATTCGTTTCCATTCAATGATGATTCCATTAGACTCCATTCGTTGATGATTCAATTCGATTCCATTCAATGATGATTCCATTCAATGATATTTCCATTAGATTGCATTCGGTGATGATTCCAATCGAGTCCATTCGAAGATTCCATTTGATTGCATTCGATGATATTTCCATTCGAGTCCATTCGATGATTACATTCAATTCCATTCTATAATGATTCCATTCGATGCCATTCTATGATTCCATTTGAATCCATTCAATGATGATTCTAGTCGAGTCTTTTGAATGATTCCATTAGATTAAATTGAATGATGATTCCATTCGAGTCCATTCCATGATTCCATTAGATTCCATTTGATGATTATTCCATTCGAGTCCAATTGATGATTCCACTCGATTCCATTCGATTATGATTCCACTCGAGTCCATTCGATGATTCCATTTGATTCCATTCGATTATTCCCTTAGATTCCATTCATTGATGATTCTATTTTATTCCATTCGATGATTCCATTTGTTTCCATTTGAAGATGTTTCCATTCGGGTCCATTCGAGGATTCCATTTGATCACATTCAATGATGATTCCATTCGTGTCCATTCGATGATTCCATTTGATTCCATTTGATGATGGTTCCATTCGAGTCCTTTCATTGATTCCATATGATTCCATTTGATGATGATTCCATTCGACTCCAATTGATGATTCAATTCGATTCCATTCGATGATTCCGTTCTTTCCAATTCAATGACTCCATTTGATTCCATTCGATGATGATCCCATTGGATTCCATTCGATGATGATTCCACTCGTTTCCACTCTATGATGATTCCCTTCAGTTCCAGGTGATGATGATTCCATTAGATTATATTCAATGATTCAATGGTATTCCATTTGTTGAAGATTCCTTTCGAATCCATTTGATGTTTATTCCATTCGATTACATTCGATGATGATTCTATTCGATTCCATTCAATGATGATTCCATTCGATTTCATTTGATGATTCTATTTGATACCATTTAATGATGATTCCCTTCTATTCCATTCGATGATTCCATTCGATTCCATTCCGTGATGATTCCATTTGATTGCATTTGATGATGATCCCATTCGTGTCCATTCGATGATTCCACTCGATTCCATTCAATGATGATTCCATACGAGTCCGCTAGATGATTCAATTTGATTCCATTTGATGATTCCTTATGTTGCCATTCGAAGATTACATTAGATTTCATTGAATGATTATTCCATTCGTTTCCATTCGATGATTCCATTGGATGATGATTCCATTCGATGCCATTCGAGAATTCCATTCGATTCCATTTGAGATTCCATTCTATTCCATTCGATGGTGATTTCATATGAGTCCATTCAATGATTGCATTTGATTCCATTCGATGATGATTACATTCGAGTCCATTTGATGATTCCATTCGATTTCATTTGATGTTGATTCCATTCGTTTCCATTCCATGTTTCCATTCGATTCCATTCAACGATAATTCCATTAGAGTTCATTGGATGGTTCCATTCGATTCCATTCGATGATGATTCCATTAGAGTCCATTCTATGATTCCATTCAGTTCCATTTGATAATGATTCCATTTTATTCCATTCGAGGATTCCATTTGATTCCATTCGTTGACTGTTCCTTTCGATTCCATTTGATGATGGTTCCATTCGATTCCATTTGATGATGATTCCATTCTATTCCATTTGACGATGATTCCATTCGAGTCCATTCGATGATAATTCTGTTCGAGTCTGTTTGATGGTGATTCCATTCAATTTATTTCGATGCTTATATTCGATTCCATTCGATGATGATTCCATCAGATTCCATTCGATGATTCCATTGATTCCATTCGATGATGATTCCATTTGAT
Source organism: Homo sapiens (assembly GCF_000001405.40). Classification (NCBI taxonomy): domain Eukaryota; kingdom Metazoa; phylum Chordata; class Mammalia; order Primates; family Hominidae; genus Homo; species Homo sapiens. The sequence continues at coordinate 127,658 of NT_187384.1, forward strand.
TCGAATCATTGATGATTCCATTTAATTCCATTGGATGATTCAATTAGATTCCATTCGATGATGATTCCATTCGTGTCCATTCATTGATTCCATTAGATTCCATTCAATCATGATTCCATTCCTGTCCATTCGATGATTCCATTCAGTTCCATTTGATGATGATTCCATTGGATTCCATTCAATGATTCCATTTGATCCCATTCGTTGATGATTCCATTAGATTCCATTCGATGTTGATTCCATTCGCCTCCATTTGATGATGATTCCATTCGATTTCATTCGATGATTCTATTCGTTTCCATTCTATGATGATTCCCTTCTATTCCAATCAATGATTCCATTCGATGCAATTTGATGAATACATTCGATTCCATTCGATGATGACTGCACTCTATTCCATTTGATGATTCCATTCGATTCCATTCAATAACAATTCCATTCCATTCCATTCAATGATGATTCCATTCGTGTCCATTCGATGATTACATTGGATTGCATTCGATGAGGATTCCATTCGTGTCCATTAGATAATTCCATTCGATTCCATCTGATGATGATTCCATTCGATTCCATTCGATGATTCCATTCAATTCCATTCATTGATGATTCCATTCGATTCCATTCAATGATTCTATTTGATTCCATTCGATGATGATTCCATTCGATGCCATTCAATGGTTACATTTGATATCGTTCGATGTTGATTCCATTTGATTCCATTCAATGATTCCATTCGATTACATTCGATGATGATTTCATTTGAGTCCATTTGATGATTCCATTTGATTCCCTTTGATGATGATTTCATTCGAGTCCATTCGATGATTCCATTTGATTACATTCTATGATGATTCCATTCGAATCCATTCGATGATTCTATTTGAATCCATTTGATGATTGCTTTTGATATTCGATGATTATTCCATTCGAGTCCATTTGATAATTCCATTCAATTCTATTCGTTGATGATTCCATTCGAGCCCATTTGATGATTCCGTTTGCTTCCATTCTCCGATGATTACATTCAAGTCCATTCAATGATTCCACTCGATTCCATACGATGTTGATTCCATTCGATTCCATTCGATGATTCCATTCTATTCCATTCAATGACGATTCCATTCGTGTACATTAGACGATTCCATTCGATTCCATTCGATGATGATTCTATTCGTGCCCATTAGATGATTTCACATGATTCCATTCGATAATGATTGCATTCGAGTGCATTTGATGATTCCATTTGATTCCATTCGATGATGATTCCATTCTATTCAATTCCTTGGTGATTCCATTCAATTCCATTCATTGATTCCATTCCATGCCATTCGACAATGATTCCATTTGATTCCATTTGATGATTCCACTCGATTCCACTTGACAATCATTCCCTTCGATTCCATTCAATGATTCCCTTTGATTCCATTTGATGATGATTGCCTTCGATTCCATTTGATGATTCCATTCGATTCCATTCGATGATGATTCTGTTCAATTCCATTTGATGATTCCATTCGATTCCATTCGAAGATGATTCTGTTCAATTCCATTTGATGATTCCATTTGATTACATTCGAGGATTCCATTCGATATAATTCGATGATCATTCCTTTCAATTCCATTCAATGATTTCATTCGATTCCAAAGATGATGATTCCATTCAAGGCCATTCAATGATTCCATTTGATTCCATTCGATGATGCTTCCATGTGATGCCATTAGATGTTTCCATTGGATTCCATTCAATGATGATTCCATTCGAGTCCATTTGATGATTCTATTCGATTCCACTCACTGATAATTCCTTTCAATTCCATTCAATGATGATTCCATTTGAGTCCATTCGATGATTCGATTTGTGTCCATTTGATGATTCCATTCGATTCCATTCGATGAGGACTCCATTCGAGTCCATTCAATGATTCCATTAGATTCCATTCGATGAGGACTCCATTCTTGTCCATTCAATGATTCCATTAGATTCCATTCGATGATGATTCCATTCGAGTTCATTCAAAGATTCATTTCGAGTCCATTCGATGATTCCTTGTGATTCCAAATGATGATGATTCCTTTCGAATCCATTCGATGTTTCCTTTCGAGTGCATTCAATGATTCCTTTCAATTCCATTCGATGATGATTACATTCTCTTCCAATAGATGATGATTTCATTCGATTGTATTCGATGACTCCATTCGATTCCATTCGATTGTGATTCCATTCTTGTCCATTAGGTGATTCCATTTGATTCTTGTCAATGATGATTCCGTTTGATGCCATTCGATGATTTCATGTGATTCCATTAGATGATGATTCCATTCGATTCGATTCAATGATTCCATTTGATTCTATTTGATGATGATTCCATTCGAGTCCATTCGACGATTACATTCAATTCCATTAGATGATGATTTCATTCGGGTCCATTCAATGATTCCATTCGATTCAGTTTGATGATGATTCCATTTGAGTCCATTCGATGATTCCATTCGAGTCCATTCCATTATTCCTTTCCATTCCATATGATGATGATTCCATTCGAGTCCATACAATGATTCCATTCAATACCATTCGATGATGATTCCATTCGAGTCCATTTAACAATTCCATTCATTTCGGTTCAATGATGATTCCATTTGAGTCCATTCGATGATTCTCTTTTAGTCCATTCGATTATTCCTTTCAATTCCATTTGATGATGATTCCATTCGATTCCATTTGATGATTCCATTCAATACCATTCGATGATGATGCCATTCGTGTCCATTTGATGATTTCATTGGAGTCTATTCGATGATGATTCCATTTGAGGCCATTCAATGATTGCATTTGAGTCCGTTTGATGATTTCATTTGATTCCAATGATGATTCCTTTTGAGTCCATTCGATGATTCGATTTGTGTCCATTCGATGATTCCATTCGATTCCATTCGATGAGGACTCCATTCGAGTCCATTCAATGATTCCATTAGATTCCATTCGAGTTCATTCAAAGATTCAATTCGAGTCCATTCGATGATTCCATTCGATTCCACATGATAATGGTTCCTTTCGAGTCCATTTGATGTTTCCTTTCGAGTGCATTCAATGATTCCTTTTGATTCCATTCGATGATGATTACATTCTCTTCCATTCGATGATGATTCCATTCGATTGTATTGGATGACTCCATTCGATCCCATTCGATTGTGATTCTATTCTTGTCCATTAGGTGATTCCATTTGATTCTTATCAATGATGATTCTGTTTGATGCCATTCGATGATTTCATGCGATTCCATTCGATGATTCCCTTTGATTCCATTTGATGATGATTGCCTTCGATTCCATTTGATGATTCCATTCGATTCCATTCGATGATGATTCTGTTCAATTCCATTTGATGATTCCATTCTATGTTGATTCTGATCAATTCCATTTGATGATTCCATTTGATTACATTCTAGGATTCCATTCGATATCATTCGAAGACCATTCCTTTCAATTCCATTCAATGATTTCATTCGATTCCAATGATGATGATTCCATTCAAAGCCATTCAATGATTCCATTCGATTCCATTCAATGATGCTTCCATGCGATGCCATTAGATGTTTCCATTCGATTCCATTCAATGATGATTCCATTCGAGTCCTTTCGATGATTCTATTCGATTCCACTCGCTGATAATTCCTTTCGATTCGTTTCGATGTTTACTTTTTATTCTATTCGATGATGATTCCATTCGAGTCCATTGGTTGATTGCTTTCGAGTCTATTCGATGATTCCATTCGATTCCATTCGATGATGATTCCATTCGATAATTACATCTGATTCCATTCGATGATGACTGCATTCGGTTCCTTTCGATGATGATTCGAACGGAATCCATTCGATGACTCCATTCAATTACATTCATTGATGACTCCATTCGATTCCATTCAATGATGATTCCGTTCGATTCCATTCGATGATTCCACTTGTTTCCATTCGATGATGATTGCATTCGAGTCCATTCGATGATTCCATTCAAGTCCATTCGATGTTTCCTTTCGATTCCACTAGACGTTGATTCCATTTGAGTCCATTCAATGATTAAATTTGAGTGTGTTCCATGATTTCATTCGATTCCATTCGATGGTCATTCCACTTGAGTCCATTCGATTATTCCATTTTATTTCATTCCATGATGATTCCATTCGATTCCAATCAATGATTCCATTCGAGTCCATTTGATGATTCCATAACATTCCATTCGATGGTGATTCCATTTGATTCCATTTGATGATGATTCCATTCGACTCCATTCAATGATGATTCCATTCGATTCCATTTGATGATGATTCCATTTGACTCCATTCGATCATGATTCCATTCGATTCCATTGGATGGTTCCATTCAATTCCATTCAATGGTTCCATTCGATTCCATTCAATGATGATTCCATTCGATTCCATTCCGTGATGATTGCATTCGATTCCATTCGATGTCTCCATTCGATTCCTTTTGATAATGATTCCATTCGTGTCCATTGGATGATTCCGTTCAATTCTTTTTGATTATGATTCTGTTTGATGCCATTCGATGATTCCATGCCATTCCATTTGATGATGTTTCCTTTCGATTCCATGCCATGATTCCTTTCGATTCCATTTGATGATGATTCCATTCGAGTCCATTCAATGATTCCATTCAATTCCATTCGATGATGATTCCATTCGGGTCCGTTTAATGATTCCATTCAATTCCGTTTGATGATGATTCCATTTGAGTCCATTTGATGATTCCGTTCAATTCCATTCGATTGTTCCTTTTGATTCCATTTGATGATGATTCCATTCGATTCCATTCGATGATTCCATTCAATTCCATTCAATGATGATTCCATTCATGTCCATTTGACGATTTCATTCAATTCTATTCGATGATGATTCCATTCGAGGCCATTCAATGATGGCATTTGAGTCCGTTTGATGATTTCATTCGATTTCACTCAATGATGATTCCTTTTGGGTCCATTCGATGATTCTATTTGTGTCCATTCGATGATTCCATTCGATTCCATTCGATGAGGACTCCATTCGATTCCATTCAATGATTCCATTAGATTCCATTTGACGATGATTCCATTCGAGTTCATTCAAAGATTCAATTGGAGTCCATTCGATGATTCCATTCGATTCCACATGCTGATGATTCCTTTCGAATCCATTTGATGTTCCTTTCGAGTGCATTCAATGATTCCTTTTGATTCCATTCGATGATGATTACATTCTCTTCCATTCGAGGATGATTCCATTCGATTGTATTCGATGACTCCATTCGATTCCATTCGACTGTGATTCCATTCTTGTCCATTAGATGATTCCATTTGATTCTTATCAATGATGATTCCGTTTGATGCCATTCTATGATTTCATGCGATTCCATTTGATGATGATTCCATTCGAGTCCAATTGATGATTACATTCAATTCCACTTGATGATGATTCCATTCGGGTCCATTCAATGATTCCATTCGATTCAGTTCGATGATGATTCCATTTGAGGCCATTCGATGATTGCATTCGAGTCCATTTGATGATTTCACTTGATTCCACTCGATGACGATTCCTTTTGAGTCCATTCGATGATTCCATTCGAGTCCATTCGATGATTCCATTCGATTGCATTCGATGATGATTCAATTCGAGGCCAATCAATGATTCCATTGGAGTCTATTTGGTGACTCCTTTCTATTCCATTCGATGAGGACTCCATTCGAGGCCATTCGATGATTGCATTAGGTTCGATTCAATGATGATTCCATTCGAGTCCATTCAAACATTCAATTCGATTCCATTCAATGATTCAATTCAAGTCCATTCAATGATTCCATTTGATTCCACTTGATGATGATTCCTTTCGAGTCCATTCAATGATTCCTTTCGAGTGCCTTCAATGATACCATTCAATTACATTCGATAATTCAATTCGAGTCCAATGATTCCATTCAGTTGCATTCGAAGATTCCATACGATTTCATTCGATGATGATTCCATTCGAGTCCATTTGATGATTCCATTCGATCTCTTTCGAGCATGATTCCATTCGAGTCCATTCGATGATTCCACTCGATTCCATTCCATGATGATTCCATTCGATTCCATTCGATGATTATTCCATTCAAGTCCATTCGATGATTCCTTTCGATTCCATTCGATGATTCCTTCGTTTCCATTCGATGATGATTGCATTTGAGTCCATTCGATGATGATTCCATTCGACCAAATTCGATGATTCCAATCGATTTCATCTGATGATTGGAGTCCATTTGGTGATTCCTTTAGATTCCACTCAAAGATGATTGCATTCAATTCCATTCCATGATACTATTCCATTCCATTCATTGATGATTCCATTCGATTCCATTTGATGATTCCATTTTATTCCATTCGATGATGATTCCATTCGATTCCATTTGATGATTCCATTCTATTCCATTCGATGATGATTCCATTCGTGTCCGTTTGATGATTCCATTCTTTTCCATTCGATGATGATTCCATTCGAGTATATTCGATGATTCCATTCGAATCCATTCTATGATGATTATATTCGATTCCATTCGATGATTCCATTTGATTCCATTCGATGATTCCATTCGAGTACATTCGATGATTCCACTCGATTCCATTCAATGATAATTCCATTGGAGTCCATTTGGCGATTCCTTTAGATTCCACTCGAAGATGATTCCATTTGATTCTATTCGATGATACCATTTGATTACGTTCATTGATGATTCCATTCAAGTGCATTTGATGATACCATTCGATTCATTCGATGATGATTCCATTCGTTTCCATTCAATGATTCCATTCGATTCCATTCAATGATGATTCCATTCGAGTCAATTCGATGATTCCATTGGAATCCATTTGATGATGATTCCATTCAGTGATTCCATTCAATTCTATTCAATAATGATTCCAATCGATTCCATTCGATGATGATTCCACTGGATTCCATTCTATGATTGCATTTGATTCCATTAGACAATGATTCCATTTGATTCCATTCAATTCCATTTGATGATGATTGCATTCGTTTCCATTAGATGATGATTCCTTTCGATTCCATTCGATGATGATTCCATTTGATAACATTCAATGATGATTCCATTCGATTCCTTTCATTGATTCCATTCGATTCCATTTGATGATGATACCATTTGTGTCGATTCTATTATTCCGTTTGATTCCATTCAATGATGAATTCCATTCGATTCCATTCAATGATTGCATTCAAGTCCATTTGATGATTCCTTTCAATTCCATTCGATGTTGATTCCATTCAATGCTATTCGATGATTGCATTCGATTTCATTTGATGATGATTCCATTTGACTCCATTCAATGATTCCATTTGAGTCCATTGTATTATTTCATTAGATTCCATTTGATGATGATTCCATTTCATGCCTTTTGACGATTCCATCTGATTCCATTCAATGATGATTCCATTTGAGTTTATTTGATAATTACTGCATTTGATTCCATTCGATGATTCCATTTGATTCCATTCAATGATGACTCTGATCGATTCCATTCGATGATTCCTTTTGGTTCCATTTGATGATTCCATTTGATTCCATTCGAAAATGATTCCATTCGAGTCCATTCAATGAATCCATTCGAGCCCATTCGATAATTCTATTTGAGTCCAATCCATGATTCCATTCGAGTTCATTCGATCATTCCATTTGAGTCCATTCAATGATGATTCCATTCGAGTCCATTCGATGATTCCATTCGAGTCCATTCCATAATTCCATTTGTGTCCATTCGATGATGCTTTTGATTCTGTTCGATGATATTCCATTAGAGTCCGTTTGATGATTCCTTTCAATTCTATTCAAAGATGATTCTTTTAGTGTCCAGTCGGTGATTCCATTCGATTGCATTCGATGATGATTCCTTTCGAGTCCATTCGATGATTCCATTCAAGTCCATGCAATGATTAAATTCAAGTCCATTTGATGATTGCTTTCAATTCCACTTGATGTTTCCATTCGAGTAAATTCGATGATTCCATTTGATTCCATTCGATGATGATTCCATTCGAGTCCATTTAATGATTCCATTTGATTCCATTCGATGGTGATTTCATTCGAGTCCATTCAACGATTCCATTTGATTCCATTCGATGATGATTCCATTCGAGTCCATTCAATGATTCTATTTGAATCCATTTGATGATTGTGTTTGATTATACTTGATAAAGATTCCATTTGAATCCATTCAATGATGTTTCCATTCGCATCCCTTTGATGATTCCATTTGATTCCATTCGCTGATGATTACTTTCGAGTCCAATCAATGATTCCTCTCAATTCCATATGATGATGATTCCATTCCATTCGATGATTCCATTCTATTGCATTCAATAATGATTCCCTTCGAGTAAATTAGCTGACTCCATTCGATTCCATTTGATGATTATTCTATTCGTACCCATTAGATGATTCCACACGATTCCATTCAATGATGATTCTATTCGAGTCCATTCGATGATTCCATTCAATTCCATTCGAGGATGATTCCATTCAATTCCATTCATTGGTGATTGCATTCAATTCCATTCATTGATTCCATTCCATTCCATTCGCCAATGATTCCATTCGATTCCATTCTATGATTCCACTTGATTCCACTTGACAATGATTCCACTCGATTCCATTCGATGATTCCATTTGATTCCATTCAATGATGATTGCGTCAATTCCATTCGATGATTCCATTCGATTCCATTGGATGATGATTCCATTCGATTTCATTTGATGACTCCATTCGATTCCATTGGATGATGATTCCTTTCGATTTCATTTGATGATTCCATTTGATTCCATTCGAGGATTCCTTTCGATTCCATTCGATGATGATTCCATTTGAGTCCATTCGATGATTTCATTCGAGTCCATTCAATGATTCAATTGGAGTCCATGTGATGATTCCATTCGATTCCATTTGATGATGATTCCATTAGAGTCAGTTCGATGACTCCATTTGAGTCCATTCGATAATTCCATTCGAGTCCATTCGATGATTCCATTTGATTCCATTTGAGGATTCCATTCGTGTCCGTTTGATCATTACTTTCGTGTCCATTCGGTGATTCCATTGGATTACTTTTGATGATGTTACCATTCAATTCCATTTGACGATGATCCCATTCGATTCCATTCGTTGATGATTCCATTTGAGTCCATTCAGTGATTCCATTTGATTCCATTCAATGATGATTCCTTTCGTGTCCTTTTGATGATTGCATTCGAGTCCCTTCATTGATTCCATCCGATTCTATTTGATGATGATTCCATTTGAGTCCATTTGATGATTGCATTCAATTTCATTTGTTGATTCAATTGGAGTCTATTCGATTATTCCATTCGAGTCCATTTGATGATTCCATTTGATTCCTTTCGATGATAATTCCATTCGAGTCCATTCGATGATGATTCCATTCATTTCCATTCGATGATTCGGTTCGATTCCATTCGATGATTCCCTGTGATTCCTTTCCATGATGATGCCATTCCATTCCATTTGATGATTCCATTCTATTCTATTCCATGATGATTCCATTTGATGATGGTTCCATTGGTGTCCATTCGATGATTCCATTCCATTCCATTCGATGATGATTCTATTCAATTCCATTTGATGATGATTCCATTCGTTTCCATTTAATGACGATTCCGTTTGATTGCATTCGATCATTCTATTTGATTCCATTCGAAGATGAGTCCATTCTATTCCATTCGATGATTCCATTCGATTCCATTCAAAGATGATTCTATTCGATTACATTTGATGATGATTCCATTTGATTCCATTTGATGATGATTCCATTCGTGTCCATTCGATGTTTCCATTCGATTCCATTCAACGACGATTCCATTCGAGTCCATTAGATCATTCCACTCGATTCCATTTGATGATGATTCCATTTGATGCCGTTCGATGATTCCATTTGATTTCATAAAATGATGATTCCATTCTAATCCATTTGATGATTCCATTCCATTCCATTTGGTGATGATTCCATTCGAATCCATTGAATGATTCCATTCGATTCCATTTGATGATGATTCCATATGAGTCCATTAGATGATTCCATTCGATTCCATTTGATGATGATTCCATTTGGGTCCATTAGATGATTCCATTTGGTTCCATTCAATGATATTTCCATTCGAGTCCATTTGATGATTACACTCCTTTCCATACAATGAAGATTCCATTCTATTCCATTCGATGATGATTCCATTCGGTTACATTAGATGATTCCATTTGTTTCCATTCAATGATGATTCTATTCGTGTCCATTACATGATTCCATTCGATTCCATTCGATGATGATTCCATTCTATTCAATTCGATGATGATTCCATTCGAGTCCATTAGATGATTCCATTTGATTCCATACGATGATGATTCCATTCTATTCCATTCAAAGATGATTCCATTCGGGTCCTTTAGATGATTCCACTCGATTCCGTTCACTGATGATTCCATTCGGCTCCATTCGATGATTCCATTCTACTCCATTCAATGATGATTCCATTCAAGTCCATTTGATGATTCTATTAGAGTCCATTAAATGATTGCTTTTGATTCCCTACGATGATGATTCCACTCCATTCCGTTCGATGATGATTCCATTTGATACCATACTATGATTCCTTTTGATTACATTTGATGTTGATTCCATTCGATTTCATTCGATGATTCTATTTGAATCCATTCGATGATGATTCCATTCGTTTCCATTCTATGATTCCATTTTATTACATTTCATGATGATTCCATTTGATTCCATTCAATGATTCCTTACGATTCCATTTGATTCCATTCAATGATTCCTTACGATTCCATTTGATGATGATTCCATTCGAGTCCATTCGATGATTCCTTTCGATTCTGTTCGATGATGATTCCATGCTAGTGCATTCAATGGTGATTCCATTCGATTCCTTTCGATGATTCCATTTGATGATTCCATTCTATTCCATTTGATGATGATTGCTTTCGATTCCATTCGATGATTCCATTTGATTCCATTCCAAGATGATTCCATTTGATTCCATTCAATGATGATTCCATTCATTTCCATTCGATGATTCCATTAGAGGCCATTTGATGATTCCATTTCGTTCCATTCAATGGTGATTCCATTGTATTGCATTCGTTGATGATTCCAATCAATACCGTTCGATGATGATTCCATTCAATTGCATTCGATGATGATTCCATTCGATTCCATTAGATGATTCCATTTGATTTCATTCGATGATGATTACATTAGATTCCATTCGATGATTCCATTCGAGTCCATTCAATGATTCCATTTGATTCCATTCGATGATGACTCCATTTGAGTCCATTCAATGATGATTCCATTTGATTCCTTTCAATGATTCCATTGGATCCCATTCTTTGTTTTATTTTGATTCGTTTTGATGATGATTCCATTCAGTTTCATTTGATGATCCCATTCGATTCTATTCGATGATGTTTCCATTCGATTCTATTCGATGGTGTTTCCATTGGATTCCATTTGAAGAAAATTCCATTTGATTCCAATGATGATGATTCCATTCAATTCTATTCGATGCCGATTGTATTTGATTCCATTTGATGATGATTCCATTTGATTCCATTCGATGATTAAATTCGATTCCATTCGATGATGATTCCATTCGAGACCATTCAATGATTCCATTCAATTCCATTCAATAATGATTCCATTCGAGTCCATTCGATGATTCCATCCAAGTCCATTTGATGATTCCATCTGATTCCATTCAGTGAATCCATTCGATTCCATTCTATGATGATTCCATTCGTTTCAATCGGATGATGATTCCATTCGATTCCATTCATTGATTCCATTCAATTCCATTTGATGATGATTCTAATCAATTCCATTCGATGATTCCATTCGAATCCATTCGATGATGAGTCCATCCATTTCAATTTCATGATAATTACATTCGTTTCAATTCGATGGTGTTTCCATTCGATTCCATTCTATTTTGATTCCATTAGTTTCCATTGGATGATGATTCCATTCGAGTCCATTTGATGATGATCACATTCGATTTCATTCCATAATTCTATTTGATTCCATTCGATGATGATTCCATCTGATACCATTTGATGATTCCATTCGATTCCATTCGATGATGATTCCATTCGTTTCTATCTGATGATGATTCCATTCAATTCCATTCGATGATTACTCCATTTGAGTCCATTCGATGATTCCATTTGATTCCATTCGATGATGATTGCATTCGAGTCCATGGATTATTCCATTCCATTCCATTTGATGATCCATTTGAGTCCATTCAATGATTCTCTTCGATTCCATTCTATAATTCCATTTGATTCCGTTTGATGTTGATTCCATTCGAGTCCATTCGATGATAATTCCATTCGATTATATGCGACGATTCCATGGGATTCCATTTGAAGATGATTCCATTCGAGACCATTCAATGATTCCATTCAATTCATTCGATGACGATTCCATTCAATTCCTTTCGATGATTCCATTAGATTCCATTTGATGATGATTCCATTCGATTCCATTCGATGATGATTCCATGCGATTCCATTCAATGATGACTCCTTTCATTTCCATTTGATGATGATTCCATTAGGTTCCATTCGATGATGATTCCTTTGGATTCCATTTGATGATGATTCCATTCAATTCCAATCGATGGTGATTCTTTTCGATTCCATTCGATAGTAATTCCATTCGATTCCATTTGATCATGATTCCATTCAATTCTACTCGATGATTCTGTTCGATTCCATTCAATGATGCTTCCATTCTAGTTCATTGATTACTCCATTACATTCCATACAATGATTCCATTCGAGTCCATTTGATGATTCTATTCGATTCCATTCGATAATTCCATTCGATTCCATTTGATTATAATTCCATTCGAGTCCATTCGATGATTATTCCATTTGATTCTATTCGGTGATTCCATTCAATTCCATTTGATAATGATTCCATTTGAGACCATTCAATGACTCCATTCAATTCATTCGATGATGATTCCATTCAATTCCATTCGATGATTCCATTCGATTCCATTTGATGATGATTCCATTCGATTCCATTCGATGATGATTCCATGCGATTCCATTCAATGATGACTCCTTTCGGTTCCACTCGATGATGATTCCATTTGGTTCCATTCGATGACGATTCCTTTGGATTCCATTCAATGATGATTTCTTTTGACTCCATTTGATGTTGATTATTTTCTATTCCATTAGATGATGATTCCATTTGATGCCATTCAATGATGATTCCATTTGATTCCATTCGATGATTCCATTCTATTCCATATGATGATGATTCCATTCGAGTCCATTTGATGATTCCATTCAATTCCATTCGATGATGATTCCATTCAATTCCATTCAATGATTCCATTTGATGATTATTCCTTTCGAGTCCATTCAGTGATTCCTTTTGATTACAATAGAAGATGATTCCATTCGATTCCATTCGATAATACCATTCAATACCATTCGCTGATGATTCCATTTGAGTGCATTCCATGATACCATTCGATCCCATTCAATGATGAATCGATTCGATTTCACACGATGATTCCATTCAATTCCATTCTATGATGATTCCATTCGAGTCCATTCGATGATTCCATTTGACTCCATTTGAGGATGATTCCATTCAATGATTCCATTCGATTCTATTCGATGATGATTCCATTCGATATCTTTCGATGCTGATTCCATGCAATTCCATTCGATTATTCCATTTGATTCCATTCGATGATTCCATTCGATTACGTTTGGGGATGATTCCATTCGATTCCATTTGATGATTCCATTCAATTCTATTCGATGATGATTCCAATCGATTCCATTCAATGATGACTGCATTCGATTCCATTCGATGATTACATTTGATTCCATTCGGTGAGTATTGCGATCGATTATATACGATGATTCCATTTGATTCCATTCGATGATTCCATTTGATTCCATTCGATAATGATTCCATTCGAGTCCATTCGATGATTCCATTCGAGCCCTTTCGATAATTTCATTTGAGTCCCATCCATGATTCCATTCGAGTCCATTCAATCATTCCATTTGAGTCCATTCGATGATGATCCCATTCGAGTCCATTGAATTCTTTTTTAGTCCATGCAATGATGATTCCATTCAAGTCCATTCGATGATTCCATTCGATTTTATTTGATGATGATTCCATTTGTGTCCATTCAATGATTCCATTTGATTTCATTCGATGATGATTCCATTCGATTCCATTGAATGATTCCATTCTATTCCATTTGATGATGATTCCATTCGAGTCCATTCAATGATTCCATTCGGGTCCATTTAATGATTCCGTTGAGTTTGATACTATGATGATTACATTGGATGTCATTCTATGATTCCATTCGATTCCTTTCGTTGATGATTCCGTTCGATTCCATTCGATGATGATTCCATTTGATTTCATTCGATGATTATATTTGATTACATTCAATGAAGATTCAATTCTATTACATTGGATGATACCATTCGATTCCATTCGATGACGATTCCATTTGATTCCATTCGATGATGATTCCATTCAATTACATTCGATGATGAATCCATTCAATTCCATTCGATGATGATTCCATTCTATTCCATTCGATGATGATTCCATTCAATTTCATTCAATGATTCCATTTGATCCCGTTCGATGATGATTCCATTCTAATCCATTGGATGATTCCATTCTATTCCATTCGATGATGATCCCATTCAATTCCATTCGATGATTATTCCATTTGATTCCATTGAATGATTATTCCATTCGTGTCCGTTAGATGATTCCATTTGATTCCATTTGATGATGATTCTATTCGGTGCCATTCAATTATTCCATTTGATTTCATTCGATCATGATTCCGTTGATTTCGTTTGATGATTCCTTTCCATTCCATTCGATGATTATTCCATACGTGTCTATTCGATGATTCCATTTGATTCCATTCGATGATGACTCTATTCGTGTCCATTCCATGATTTAATGTAATTTCATTTGATGATTATTACATTTGATTCTATTCGATGATTCCATTTGATTCCATTAGGTCATGATTCCATTCGAGTCCATTCAATGATTCCATTCGAGTACATTTGATTATTCCGTTTGATTAAATTTGATGATGATTCGATTTGAGTCAATTTGATGATACCATTCGATTCCATTCGATGGTGATTCCATTCGTGTTCATTCGATGATTCCATTTGATTCCATTCAATGATGATTCCTTTCGAGTCCATTCAGTGATTCCATTCAAGTCCATTTGATGATTGCTTTTCATTCCATTCAATGATGATTCCAATCGAGACCATTCGATGATTCCATTTGATTTCATTTGATGATGATTCCATTCGATTCCCTTCGATGATTCCATTATATTCCATTCAATGATGGTTCCATTTGAGTCCATTCGATGATTCCATTCGACTCCATGTAATGATTCCATTGGGTTCAATTCGATGATGATTACATTGGATTCCGTTCAATGATTCCATTCGATTCCATTCGTTGATTATTCCATTCGATTCCTGTCAATGATGATTCCATTTGATTCCATTCTTTGATGATTCCATTCGATGATGACTTGATTTGATTCCGTTTGATGATGACTTGATTTGATTCCATTCGATGATGATTCCATTCAATTTCATTTGATGATTCTATTCGATTCCATTCGATTTTGATCCAATTCTATTCCATTCGAAGATTCCATTCGATTCCCTTTGATGATGATTCCATTCGATTCCATTCGTTGATGATTCCCTTCTATTGCATTTGTTGATGATTCCATTCGAGTGCATTCAAAGATTACATTCAATTCCGTTCGATAATGATTCCATTCGAGTCCATTCGAAGATTAGATTTGTTTCCATTCGATGATTCCGTTCCATTCCATTTGGTAATGATTCTGTTTGATTCTATTTGATGATGATTCCATTTGATGATGATTCCATTTGATTTCATTCAATGATTCCATTTGTTTCCATTCGGAGATAATTCTATTCTATTCCATTTGATGATTCCATTCAATTCCATTCGATGAGGATTCTATACGATTCCATTTGATTATGACTCCATTCGATTCCATTCCATAATGATTCAGTTCGTGTCTATTCGATGTTTCCTTTTGATTCCATTCGACAATGATTCTATTCGAGTCCATTAGATCATTCCATTTGATTCCATTCAATTATGATTCCATTCAATGATTCCTTTCTATTTCATTCGATGATGATTCCATTCGAATCCATTTGATGCTTCCATTCCATTCCATTCCATTCAATGATGATTCAATTCGAGTCCATTCGATGATTCCATTCGATTCCGTTCTACGATGATTCCATTGAGTCTATTTGATAATTCAATTTGATTTCTTTCGATGACGATTCCATTCAATTCTATTTGATGATTCCATTCGATTCCATTTGATGATGACTAAATTCGAGTCCATTCGATGATTCCATTCAATTCTACTTGAGGATGATTCCATTGGATTCCATTCCATGATTCCATTCGATTCCATTTGATGACCATTCCATTCGAGTCCATTCAGTGATTCCATTTGATTTCATTTGATGATGATTCCATTTGAGTCCATTCGATGATTCCATTCAAATCCATTTGATGATTGTTTCAATTATATTTGATGATGATTCCATTCGAGTCCATTCGTTGTTTCCATTCGATTCCATTCGATGATGATTGCATTCGGGTCCATTAGATGATTCCATCTGATTACATTTTATGATGATTCCATTCGGGTACAATAGATGATTCCATTCGATGATGTTTCTATTGCCGTCCATTAGATGATTCCATTCGATTCCATTTGATTATGATTCCATTCGAGTCCATTCCATGATTCCATTCTATTCCATTTGACAATGATTCCATTTGATTCCATTCGATGATTCCATTTGATTCCATTCGCTGATGATTTCATTCGAGTCCATTCGGTGATTCCATTTGATTCCATTTGATGATGATTCCATTCGAATCCATTTGATGATTCTATTAGAATCCACTTGATGATTGCTTTTGATTATATTCGATGATGATTCCACTCAAGTCAATTCGATGATTCCATTCGATTCCATTCGATGATGATTCCATTCGAGTTCATTTGATGATTCCATTTGATTTCATTCTCCAATGATTACATTCGAGTCCATTCGATGATTCCACTTGATTCCATACGATGATGATTCCGTTCAATTCCATTCCATCATTCCATTCTATTCCATTCAATGATGATTCCATTCGAGTACATTAGATGATTCCATTTGATTCCATTCGATGATGATTCTTTTCTTCCCCATTAGATGATTCCACATGATTCCATTCGATGATGATTCTATTCGAGTCCATTTGATGATACCATTTGATTCCATTCGATTCCATTCGATGATGACTCCATTCCATTCCATTCATTAGTGATTCCATTCCATTCTTTGATTCCATTCCATTCCATTCGACAATGATTCCTTTTGATTCCATTCGATGATGTTTCTATTCTTCCCCATTAGATGATTCCACGTGATTCCATTCGATGATGATTCTATTCGAGTCCATTCGATAATTCCATTCGATTCCATTTGATGATGACTCCATTCCATTCCATTCATTGGTGATTCCATTCAATTCCATTCATTGATTCCATTCCATTCCATTCGACAATGATTCCATTCGATTCCATTCCATGATTACACTTGATTCCACTTGACGATGACTCCATTCGATTCCATTCGATGATTCCATTTGATTCTATTCGATGATAATTCCATTCGATTCCATTCGATGATGATTGCATTCAATTACATTCGAAGATTCCATTCGATTCCATTTGATGATGATTCCATTTGATTACATTTGATGATTTCATTTGATTACATTCGAGGATTCCACTCGATTCCATTCTTTGATCATTCCATTCAAGTCCATTCAATGATTACATTCCAGTCCATTTGATGATTCCATTAGATTCCATTCGATGATGTTTCCATTCGGTTCCATTTGATGATTCCATTCGATTCCATTCGATGATTCCATTTGAGTCCATTCAATTATTCCATTCGAGTCTATTCGATGATCCCATTTGATACCATTCGATGATAATTCCATTGGAGTTCTTTTGATGATGATTCCATTCGATTCCATTGGATTATTCCGTTTGATTCCATTCGATGATTCCCTTAGATTCCTTTTGATGATGATTCCATTCGATTCCATTCGATGATGATTCCGTTTGATTCCATTCGATGACGACTGCATTCGGTTCCTTTCGATGATGATTCCAATGTATTCTGTTCGATTTCTCTATTCGATTCCATTTGTTGATGATTCCATTCGGTTCCATTAGATAATGATTCCGTTAGGTTCCATTCGATGATGATTCCATTCGATTCCATTCAATGATGATTCCTTTTGATTCCATTCAATGATGATTCCATTCGATTCCATTCGATGATTCCACTCGATTGCATTCGATGATGATTCCATTCGTGTCCATTCGATGACTCCATTCAATTTCATTCAATGATGATTCCATTCGAGTACTTTGAATGATTCCATTCAAGTCCATTTGATGATTCCTTTCAATTCCATTCCATGATGATTCTATTCGACTCCATTCGATGATGATTCCATGCGATTCCATTCAATGATGACTCCTTTTGGTTCCATTCAATGATGATTGCATTCGGTTCCATTCGATGATGATTCCTTTGGATTCCATTCGAAGATGATTCCATTCAACTCCATTTGATGTTGATTCTTTTCGATTCCATTCGATGTTGATTCCATTTGATTACATTCGATAATGATTCAATTCGATTCTATACGATGATGATTCCGTTTTAGTCCATTCGATGATTCCATTTGAGTCCGTTCAATGATTCCATTCAATGATTCCATTAGATTCCTTTCGATTATTATTCCATTCGAGTCCATTCGGTGACTCCTTTCAATCCCAATTGAAGATGATTCCATTCGATTACGTTCGATGATACCATTGGATACCATTCGTTGATGATTCCATTCGAGTGCATTCGATGATACCATTCAATTCCATTCGATTCCATTCGATGATTCCATTCAATTCCATTCTATGGTGATTCCATTCAAGTCAATTTGATGATTCCATTGGACTCCATTTGATGATGATTCCATTCCAATATTCCATTCGATTCTATTCGATGATGATTCCATTCGATTTCATTCGATGCTGATTCCATTCAATTCCTTTCGATGATTCCATTTGATTCCATTCGATGATTCCATTTGATTCAATTTGATAATGGTTCCGTTCGAGTCATTTGATGATTCCATTCAATTCCATTCGATGATGATTCTGATCAATTCCATTCGATGATTCCATTCGATTCCATTCAATGATTCCATTTGATTCCATTCGATAATGATTCCATTCATGTCCATTCGATGTTTCCATTCGAGCCCATTTGATAATTCCATTTGAGTCCAATCGATGATTCCATTAGAGTCCATTCAATCATTCCATTTGAGTCGATTTGATTATTAATCCATTCGGGTCCATTCAATAATTCCATTCGAGTCCATTCGATAATTCCTTTTGAGTCCATTCGATGATTGCTTTTGATTCAATTCGATTATATTCAATTTGAGGCAATTTGTTGATGCCATTTGATTCTATTCGATGATGATTCCCTTCGTGTCCATTCGGTGATTCCATTCGATTTCATTCGATGGTGATTCTTTTCGGGTCCATTCAATGATTCCATTCGATTCCATTTGATGGTTTCATTCGAGTCAATTCTATGATCCCATTCGAGTCCATTTGATGATTCCATTAGATTCCATTCGATGATGACTCCATTAGGGTCCATTTGATTATTCCATTTGAGACCATTCGATAATTCCATTCAAGTCCATTTGATGATTCCATTCGAGTCCATTCGATGATTCCATCTGATTCAATTTGATGATGATTCCATTCGAGTTCATTTGATCATTCCATTCAATTCCATTTGATGATTCCATTTGAGTCCATTTGATTATTCTATTTGAGTCCATTCAATTATTCCATTCGAGTCCATTCGATGATTCCATTCAATTCCATTCGCTCATAATTGCATTCAAGTCGATTCGATGATGATTCCATTCGATTCCATTTGATGATTCCATTCGATTCCATTCTATGATTCCTTTTGATTCCTTTTGATGATGATTCCATTCGATTCCATTCGATGATTACTGCATTTGTTTCCATTCAATGATGATTCCAGCAGATTCCATTTGATTTCTCCATTCGATTCCATTCATTGATGATTCCATTCGGTTCCATTAGATGATGATTCCATTAGATTCCATTTGATAATGATTCCATTTGATTCCATTTGATGATGATTCCATTTTATTCCACTCAATAATGATTCCATTCATGTCCATTCGATGATTCCATTCGATTCCATTCGATGATGATTCCATTCAATTGCATTCGATGATGATTCCATTCGATTTCATTCAATGATTCTATAGGATTCCATTCAATGATGATTCAATTCTCTTCCATTCGATGTTTCCATTCGATTCCATTCGATGATGATTCCATTCGATTCCATTCGATGATGATTCCATTCGATTGCATGCGATGATGATTCGAGTCCATTCGAAGATTCTGTATGATTACATTCCATGACGATTCCATTAGAATCCATTCGATGATTCCATTCAACTCCATTCGACGATGATTCCACTCGATGCTATTCGATGATTCTATTCTATTCCATTCGATGATGATTCCATTCAACTCCATTCGATGATTCCATTCGATTCCATTCGATTATTCCATTAGATTCCTTTCGATGATGATTCCATTCGATGATATTTGATGATTCCATTCGATTCCATTCAATGATGATTGCGTTTGTGTCCATTCGATTATTCCATTTGATTCCATTCAATGATGATTACATTCGAGTCCATTCAATGATTCCATTTGATTCCATTCGATGATGATTCCATTCGAATCCATTTGAGGATTCCACTTGATTCCATTCGATGACTCTGTTCGATCCCATTCGATGATTTCCTTTGATTCCATTCGATGATCTTTCCATTTGATTCAATTAGGTGATTCCATTCGATTGTATTCAATGATGATTCCATTTGACTCCATTCGATGATGATTCCATTCGAGTCCATTCGATTATGATTTCATTCAATTCCATTCGATGATGATTCCATTTGGGTCCATTCAATGTTTCCATTTGATTCCATTCGAAGATGATTCCACTCAAGTCCATTTGATGGTTCCTTTTGAGTCCATTCGATGAATCCATTAGTTTCCATTTGATGATGATTCCATTCGATGCCATTCAATGATTCCATTCGATTCCGTTCAACAATGATTTCATTCGTGTCCATTTGATGATTCCATTCGATTCCATTTGATGATGATTCCATTCAAGCCGATTCGGTGATTCCATTCAATTCCATTCTATGAGGATTCCCTTCTAATCCATTTGATGATTCCATTCCATTCCATTCGATGATGACTGCATTCGGTTCCATCTGATGATGATTCCAACGGATTTCATCTGATTTCTCCATTTGATTCCATTCGTTGACGATTCATTCTTTTCCATTTGATGATGATTCTATTATATTCCATTCGATGATGATTCCATTCGATTCCATTCAATGACGATTCCATTCGATTACATTCAATGATGATTCCATTGGATTCCATTTGATGATTACATTCGATTCCATTCGATCGATGATTCCATGCGATTCCATTCAATGGTGATTCCATTCGGGTCCATTCGATGATTCCATTTGATTCCATTCGATGATGATTTGATTCGAGTACATTCAATGATTCCATTCAAGTACATTCGAAGATTACTTTCAATTCCATGTGATGATTTCATTCGAGTCCATTTGATGATTCCATTCAAGTCCATTTGACGTTTCCTTTTGAGTCCGCTCGATGTTGATTCCGTTTGAGTCAATTCGATTATTCCATTTGAGTGCATTCCATGATTTCATTCGACTCCATTCGGTGATATTTCCATTCGAGTCCATTCGATGTTTCCATTTGATTTCATCCAGTGGTGATTCCATTCGATTCCATTCGATGATTCCATTCAAGTGCATTCAATTATTACATTCGAGTCTATTAAATGATTCCATTCATTTCCATTCCATGATGACTCCATTCGAGTCCATTCAATGATGATTCCATTCGATTCCATTCAATGATACCTTTGGATTCCATTCTTTATTTTATTTCGATTTGTTTTGGTGATGATTCCATTCGGTTTCATTTGATGATCCCATTTGATTCTATTTGATGGTGATTCCATTCCATTCCATTTGATGAGAATTCCATTCGATTCCATTCGTTGATGATTCCATTAAATTATATTCGATGAGTATTCTATTCAATTCCATTCAGTGATGATTCCATTCGATTCCATTCGATGATGATTCCTTTCGAGACCATTCGATGATTCCATTCACTTCATTCCATGATGATTCCATTCAATTCCATTAGATGATTCCATTAGATTCCATTCGATGATGACTCCTTTCGGTTCCATTCGATGATGATTCCATTTGGTTCCATTCGATGATGATTCCTTTGGATTCCATTCAATGATGATTCCTTTTGACTCCATTTGATGTTGATTCTTTTCTATTCCATTAGATGATCATTCCACTTGATGCCATTAAATGATGATTCCATTCGATACCATTCGATGATTCCATTCTATTCCATATGATGTTGATTCTTTTCTATTCCATTAGATGATCATTCCATTTGATGCCATTCAATGATGATTCCATTCGAGTTCATTTGATGATTCCATTCAATTCCATTCGATGATGATTCCATTCAATTCCATTCAATGATTCCATTTGATTCCTTTTGATGATTATTCCATTCGTGTCCATTCAGTGATTCCTTTTGATTACAATAGAAGATGATTCCATTTGATTTCATTCGATAATATCATTCTATACCATTCGCTGATGATTCCATTTGAGTGCATTCCATGATACCATTCGATCCCATTCAATGATGAATCCATTTGATTTCACACGATGATTCCATTCAATTCCATTCTATAATGATTCCATTTGACTCCATTTGAGGATGATTCTATTCAATGATTCCATTCGATTCTATTCGATGGTGATTCCATTCGATTTCATTCGATGCTGATTCCAGTCAATTCCATTCGAAAATTCCATTTGATTCCATTCGATGATTCCCTTCGATTACATTTGATGATGATTCCATTCGATTCCATTTGATGATTCCATTCGATTCTATTCGATGATGATTCCATTTGATTCCATTTGATGATGACAGCAATCGATTCCAATCGATAATTCCATTTGATTCCATTCAATGATGATTCCGATCGATTCCATTCAATGATTCCATTCGATTCCATTTGATGATTCCATTTGATTCCATTCGATAATGATTCCATTCTCATCCATTCGATGATTTCATTCGAGCCCATTCGATAATTGCATTTAAGTCCATTCGATAATTCCATGTGGGTCCATTTAATCATTCCATTCGAATCCATTTGATGATGATTCCATTTGAGTACATTCAATGATTCCATTCAATTCCATTCGATGATCTTTCCATTTGAGTCCATTCAATGATTCCATTTAAGTCCATTTGATGATTCCTTTCAATTCAATATGATGATGATTCCATCCGAGTCCATTCGATGATTCCACTCTATTCTTTTCCATGATGATTCCATTCAAGTCCATTCGATGATTCCATTTGACTTAGTTTGATGATGATTCCATTCAATTGTATTCGATGATTCCATTCTATTTCATTCGATGATGGTTCCGTTTGACTCCATTTGATGATTCCATTCGATTCAATTTAATGATTCCATTGGGTTCAGTTTGATGATGATTACATTGGATTCCATTCTATGATTCCATTCAATTCCATTCGTTCATGATTCCATTTGATTACATTCGATGATGATTCCATTCGATTTCATTCTATGATTCTAATCGATTCCATTCGATGATGATTCAATTCTATTCCATTCGATGATTCCATTTGATGATGATTCCATTCGATGATGATTCCATTCAATTCGATTTGATGATGATTCCATTCAATTCCATTCAATGATGATTCCATTCGAGTCCATTCGAAGATTCCATTCGATTACATTCCATGAAGAGTCAATTCAATTCCATTCTATGATTCCATTTGACTCCATTTGACGATGATTCCATTCGATTCTATTCAATAATTCCATTCGATTTCATTCGATGATGATTCCTTTCGACTCCATTCGATGATTCCATTCAATTCCAGTTGATGATTCCATTCGATTCCATTCCATGTTTCCATTGGATTCCATTTGATGATGATTCCATTCCATTCCATTCAATGATTCCATTCGATTCCATTAGATGATGATTCCATTCGAGTCCATTCAATGATTCCATTCGATTCCATTCGATGATAATTCCATTCGAGTCCATTTGATGTTTCTATTTGATACTATTCTATAATGATTCCACTCGAGTCCATTCGATGATTGCTTTTGAGTCTATTTGAAGATTCCATTCGATAACATTCGATGATGTTTCCATTCGTGTTCATTCGATAATTCCATTTGATTCCACTCGATGATGTCAGCATTCGCTTCCATTTGGTGATGATTCCAAAGGATTCCATTGGATGACTCCATTCAATTCAATTCATTGATGATTCCATTCAATTCCATTCGATTATGATTCCATTCAATTCCATTGGATGATGATTTCATTCAATTCCATTCCATGATGATTCCATTCGATTCCATTCAATAATGATTCCATTCAATTACATTCTATGATTCCATTCAATTCCATTCAATGATGATTCCATTCGATTCCATTTGTTGATTCCATTTGATTTCATTCAATGATGAATCCATTCGATTCCATTCTGTCATTCCATTTGATTCCATTCAATGATGATTCCATTCAATTCCATTTGATGATTCCATTTGATTCCATTCGATAATGATTCCATTGGAATCCATTCAGTGATTCCATTCGATTCTATTCGATGAAGATTCCATTAGAGTCCATTTGATGATTCCATTCAAGTCCATTCAATGATTCCTTTCAATTCCACTCGATGTTGATTTCATTCAAGTCCATTCGATGATTCCATTCGAGTGCATTCCATTATTCCATTCAATTCCATTCGATGATGATTCCATTCGAGTCCATTCCATGATTCCATTTGATTTTATTTGATGATGATTCCGTTTGATTCTGTTCGATGATTCCATTCGAGTCCTTTCAATGATGATTTTATTCAATTGCATTCGATGATGATCCCATTCCATTTCAGTCTATGATTCTATTCGATTCCATTAGATGAAGACTCAATTCTATTCCATTTGATGATTCCATATGATTTCATTCAATGATGATTCCATTCGATTCCATTTGATGATGATTCCATTCGATTGCATTCAATGATGATTTGATTCGAGTCCATTCGAAGATTACATTCGATTACATTCCATAACAATGCCATTTGTGTCCATTCGATGATTCCATTCGACTCCATTCGAGGATGATTCCATGCAATGCTATTCGTTGTTTCCCATCTATTCCATTCAATGATGATTCCATTCATCTCCATTCGATGATTCCATTCAAGTCCATTCTATTATTCCATTAGATTCCTTTTGATGATGATTCCATTCGATGCCATTTGATGATTCCATTCAATTCCATTCATTGATGATTGCATTCATGTCCATTCTATTATTCCATTCGATTCAATTCAATGATGGTTGCATTCTAGTCCATTCGATGATTCCATTCGATTCCATTCGATGTTGATTCCATTCGAGTCTTTTCGATCATTCCATTCGATTCCATTCTCCAATGATTTCTTTTGAACCATTCAATGCTTCCACTCGATTCAATATGATGATGACTCCATTCGATTAAATTCGATGATGATTCCATGTGATTGCATTCGATGATGATTCTACTCGGGTCCATTCGAAGATTCCATTCGATTACATTCCATGATGATTCCGTTCGAGTCCATTCGATGATTCCTTTCGACTCCATTTGATGATGATTCCATTCGATGCTATTCAATGATTCCATTTGATTTCATTCGATTATGATTCCATTCAACTCCATTCAATGATTCCATTCGAGTTCATTCGATTATTCCATTAGATTCCATTCAATGATGATTCCATTCGATGCCATTCGTTGATTCCATTCGATTCCATTCGATCATGATTACATTCAAGTCCAGTCGATGATGACTGCATTCAATTCCATTTGATGATTCCATCTGATTCCATTCGATGAAGATTCCGATCGATTCCATTCGATGATTCCGTTTGATTCCATTCTATGATTCCATTTAATTCCATTCGGTAATGACTCCATTCAAGTCCATTCGATGATACCATTTGAGCCCATTCCATAATTCCATTTGAGTCCAATCCTTGATTCCATTAGAGTCCATTCGATCATTCCATTTGAGTCCATTTGATGATGATTCCATTCGAGTCCATTCAGTGATCCCACTCGAGTCCATTCAATGATGGCTTTTGATTCCATTAAATGATATTCCATTCGATTCCATTCAATCATTCCATTCGATTCTATTCAATGATGATTCCATTCATGTCAATTCGGTGATTCCATTCGATTTCATTCGATGATGATTCCTTTCAAGTTCATTAGATGATTCCATTCGATTCCATTTGATGATGATTCCATTCGCGTCCATTCAGTGATTCCATTTGATTCCATTCGATGATGATTCCATTCCATTCCATTCATTGATTCCATTTGATTCCGTTCGATGATGATTTCACTCGAGTCCATTCGATGATTCCACTTCATTCCATTTGCTGATGATTCCATTCGAGTCCTTTTGATGATTCTATTTGAATCCATTTGATGATTGCTTTTGATTATATTTGGTGATGATTCCATTTGAGTCCATTCAATGATTCCAATCGATTCCATTCGATGATGATTCCATTCGAGTCCATTTGATGATTCCATTTGATTCCATTCTCCAATGATTACATTCGAGTCCATTCAATGATTCCACTCGATTCCATACGATGATGATTCCATTCGACTCCATTCAATGATTCCATTCTATTCCATTCAATGATGATTCCATTCGAATACATTAGATGATTCCATTCGATTCCATTCGATGATTATTCTATTCATGTGCATTAGATGATTCCACACGATTCCATTAGATGATGATACTATTCAAGTCCATTCAATGATTCCCTTCGAATCCATTCGATGATGATTCCATTCGATTCAATTCATTGGTGATTCCATTCAATTTCATTATTTGATTCCACTCCATTCGACAATGATTCCATTCGATTTCTTTCAATGATTCCACTGGATTCCACTTGACAATGATTCCATTCGATTCCATTCAATGATTTCATTTGATTCCAGTCGATGATGATTGCCTTCGATTCCATTCGATCATCCATTCGATTCTGTTTGATGATGATTCCGTTCGATTCCATTTGATGATTCCATCTGATTCTATTCAAGGATTCCATTCGATTCCATTCGATGATGATTCCATTTGATTCCATTCGATGATGATTCCATTTGATTCCATTCGATGATTCCATTCGATTCCATTCAATGATGATTCCTTTCATGTTCATTGATTATTCCATTCCATTCCATTCGATGATTCCATTCGAGTCCATCTGATGATTCTATTGGATTCCATCCAATAATTCCTTTTGATTCCAATTGATGATGATTCCTTTCGAGTCCATTCGATGATTATTCCATTCGATTTTATTCGGTGAATACTTTTGATTCCATTTGATAAAAATTCCATTCATGACCATTTGATGATTCCATTCATTTCATTCGATGATTATTCCATTCAATTCAATTCAATGATTCCATTAGATTCCATTTGATGATGATTCCATTCGATTTCTTTCGATGATGATTCCATGCAATTCCATTCAATAATGACCCCTTTCGGTTCCATTCGATGATGATTCCTTTCGGTTCCTTTTGATGATGATTCATTTGGATTCCATTCGATAATGATTCCATTCCACTACATTTTATGTTAATTCATTTCAATTCCATTCTATGATGATTCCATTTGATTCCATTTGATGATGATTCCATTTGATTCCATTCGATAATGTTTCCATTCCACTACATTTGATGTTAATTCATTTCAATTTCATTCTATGATGATTCCATTTGATTACATTCGATGATGATTCCATTCTAGTCCATTCGATGATTCCATTCTTGTCCATTCAGTGATGATTCCATTCGAATCCATTCGATGATTCCATTCGATTCCTTTCGATGGTTATTCCATTCGAGTCCATTCGGTGATTCCTTTTGATGCCAATTGGAGATTATTCCATTCGATTTCATTCAATGGTTCCATTCGATACCATTCATTGATGATTCAATTAGAGTGCATTTGATGATACCATTTGGTTCCATTTGATGATAATTCCATTCGATTCCATTCGATGATTCCATTCAATTCCATTCTATGATGATTCCATTCGAGTGCATTTGATGATTCCTTTGGACTCCATTTGATAATGATTCCATTCTATGATTCCATTCGATTCTATTCTATGAAGATTACATTCGATTTCATTCGATGCTGATTCCATTCAATTCCATTCGATGATTCCATTTGATTCCATTCAATGATTCCATTCGATTACATTCGACGACGATTCCATTTGCTTCCATTCGATGACTCCATTCGATTCTATTCAGAGATGATTCCACTTGATTCCATTCGATGATGACTGCATTCGATTCCATTTGATGATTCCATTTGATTCCGTTCGATGATGATTCTGATTAATTGCATTCAATGAGTCCCTTCGATTCCATTTGATGATTCCATTTGATTCTATTCAATAATGATTCCATTCGAGTAAATTTGATGATTCCATTCAATGATATTTGATCATTCCATTTGAGTCCAATTGATGATTCCATAGGAGACCATTCGATCATTCCATTTGAGTCCATTCGATAATGATTCCATTCGAGTCCATTCGATAATTCCATTGGAGTCCATTCGATGATTGCTTTTAATTCCATTCGATGATATTCCATTTGAGTCCATTCGATAATTCCATTCGATGCTATTAGATGATGATTCCATTCGTGTCCATTTGGTGATTCCATTCGATTTCATTTGATGATTCCATTCGAGCCCATTCAATGATTCCATTCAAGTCCATTTGATGATTCCTTTCAATTCCATTTGATGTTGATTCCATTCGAGTCCATTCGATGATTCCATTCAATTCCATTCGATGATGATTCCATTCGGGTCCATTTGATGATTCCATTCGATTTCATTCAATGATGATTCCATTCGATTCCATTAGATGATGCCATTCTATTCCATTCGATGATGATTCCCTTCGAGTCCATTCGATGATTCCATTCGAGTCCATTTAATGAATTCATTGGGTTCAATTCGATGATGATTACATTGGATTCCATTCTGTGATTCCATTCTATTCCATTCGTTGATGATTTGATTCCTTTCGATGATGATTCCATTCGATTTCTTTTGATGATTCTATTCGATTCCATTCGATGGTGATTCCTTTTGATTCCATTCAATGATGATTCCATTCTCTTCCATTGGATGATTCCATTTTATTCCATTCAGTGATGACTCCATTCGATGATGATTCCATTCGTTTCCATTCGATGATTCCATTCTATTCTATTCGATGATGATTCCATTCGATTCCATTCGATGATGATTGCATTCGATTCCATTCGATGATTTTATTTGTATCCATTCGATGATGATTCCAAGTAATTCCATTCGATGATTCCATTCGATTCCATTTGATAATGATTACATTTGAGTCCATTCGATGATTGATTTGAGCCCATTCAATAATTCCATCTGAGTCCTATCAATGATTCCATTCATTTCCATTCAATGATTCCATTAGAGTCCATTCGGTCATTCCGTTAGTGTCCATTAGTTGATGATTCCATTGGAGTGCATTCGATGATTCCATTCGAGTCTATTTGATAATTCCATTTGAATCCATTCGATGATTGCTTTCAATTGCATTCGACGATGATTCCATTCGAGTCAATTCGATGATTCCATTCGATTCCATTCGATGATGATTCCATTCGTGTCCATTCAGTGATTCCATTCAATTTCATTCGATGATGATTCCTTTCGAATCCATTCGATGATTCCTTTCAATTCCATTCGATGATGATTCCATTCGAGTTCATTTATGTATTCCCTTTGATTCCATTCGATGATGATTCCATTCGAGTCCTTTCAGTGACTCTATTTGTTTACATTCGATGATGATTCCATTCGAGTCCATTTCATGATTACATTTGATTCCATTTGATGACGATTCCATTCGAGTCCCTTAGATGATTCCATTTGATTCCATTCGATGATAATTCCATTCGAGCCATTTGATGATTCTATTCGAATCCATTTGATGATTGCTTTTTATTATATTCGATTATGATTCCATTCGATTCCATTCGATGATGATTCTATTCGAGCCCATTCAATGATTCCATTCAATTCCATTCGCTGATGATTGCATTCCGGGT